>NT_187499.1:0-168472 GCF_000001405.40 Homo sapiens
GAATTCAGAATTAAGTCTGATTTGTAAAAATTTGAAATCATAATTATGCTAGTATTAATGTAATCTGGTCATATAAAAAGTAATAGAATCCATTCGTAATTTGAAAAAGTGATCAATGAACACTGTAGCTTAAGACCAATTCATAATTATCACATAATTTCTAAATCACAATTTCTTCCTATGCCAACTGGTCTTAATCATCAAATGACTCCATAATGAGAATCATTACTCTGAAAGATTGATTTTGTTATAATAATAATGGAAATTTAAATATTTAAAAGAAAAAAGAGATACCATTTTTTTCTAGAACTCTACAAAGCAGATTGCTACAAGAGAGGCAGAGGAAACACTATAAAAATATAATTTGAAGTGAAATAAATGAAAGCACATTACAAGTAAACTTACCTGATTTAAACAACTCACCTGTAAATGTATTTCGTCTAATTTTTCTACTGCCTGCATTGCCCTTTCATCTAGCTCTGATTTATATTCTTGTAGTTTACTAAGTTCTACCATACTGTTTTCCATATGTGTCTTAAGATTTAATATTTCTTCTTCCAACATCTTTTATCCTCCTCAAATTTTTCACATTCCTGTTGTGCTTTTTTCATAGATAACTCCTGTTGAAAAACTTGATTCTCTTTAGCCAAATTGACACATTTTGAAGATACAGCTTCCTTCTCCGCCATAAGATTATCAAACTGCATGAATAAAATAGTATAGCTTGATAATGAAGTAGGCTGAGAATAATCTAATACAAAACCAATAGCAAATTTTGAAATGCATTTACTTGCAATAAAATGTTATCTGTAATGCAGCAGATTCTTCAAATGTGAACCCTGAAATTACTCAGAATTTTAAGAACAAAGTTAAAGCTACCATGAGTCATAAAAATATATTCTTTACTATCATCATCTTTGCCACAGAATTTTTGTACTTCATTTTACTTTTATTTTTCCATAATTCATTTTTGTTCCTCCTTAAATGGCACAAAGTTATCTCCTAGTAAAAAGTGTCTAACCCCCTTCCTTCATTATCATTCCCCACAGTATGTCAAAAAAAGTTTCAGAGATATCATATTGAGTTATTTAGGCCAAAGTCAATAAATGGGCCTAGGAATAAGACTTTGAAAATAATATTACACACTATATTAGGCATGGTGGCTCATGCCTGTAATCCTAGCACTTTAAAAAGCTGTGGCAGAAAGATCACTTGAGGCCAGGAATTTGAGATCAGCCAGAGCAACATAGTGAGACCCCCATCTCTACAAAAAAAATTTTTTTAATTACCCGGGCATGGTGGCTCAATCCTGTAGAACCAGCTAGTTGGGATACTGAGGCAAAAGGATGGCTTGTACCCAGAGTTCAGGGCTGCAGTGAATTATTATCACTGCACTTCTGCCTGGATGACAGACAAAGACCCTATCTCAAAAAACAACACAAAATAATGAAATCTATGATTAAGGATTCTGATGCTATAAGCCTTTCCTTAAACTGCAAATGTTTCATGCTAATTTGAATTGCATTTTAAGAAGTAATGATTCTTGGGGTAAAGACCATAGAATACGGCACCCAGAAATAAATCCACATATTTCCAGCCAACTGATTTTGGACGAACATGCCAAGAACATACGCTGGGGAAAGGACAGCCTCTTCAAATGAATGACACTGTGAAAACTAAATATCCATATGGAGAAGAATGATATTAGCTTCCTATGTAACACCATATAACAACATAAACTCAGAATCGATTGAAGACTGAAATGTAAGGCCCAAAATTATCAAACTACTCTAAGTAAATATAGGGAAAATGCTTGAGGACATTAGTCTGCACAAAGATTTTTATGGGTAAGACATCAGAAGCATAGGCAAACAACAAATCATAGACAAATGACACTACATTAAGCTAAAGAGCTTCTGTCCAGCAAACAACTGAGTGAAGAAAAAACCTGTAGAATAGGAGAAAATATTGTCAAGCTATTCACCTAATAAGGGACTAATATACAAAATATACAAAAAAACTCAAACAACTTCACAGTAATAAAAATCTGAGTTCAAATTTGGGCAAAATATATAACTATACTTTTTTTTAGAAAAAGAAATACAAATAACCAATAAATAAATTTTAAAATGCTCAGTATCACTAATCCTCAGGGAAATACAAATCAAATCTACAATGTGATATAATCTTGCTTCAATTTGAATAAATTGCTGTCATTGAAAAGACAAAAAAAATAACAAATGCTCGTGAGGCTCCAGAGAACAGTAAACTCTTACATGCTGTTGGTGGGAAGGTAAATTAGTGCAGCCACTATAGAGAACAACAGGAGGTTTTCTCAAAAAAACTAATAATGGGACTGCCGAGGGATCCAGCAACCCCACTACTGGGTATTCAGGCAATAGAAAAGAAAACAATAGATCAAAAGGATACCTGTCCTCATATGTTTACTGTAGCACTATCCACAACAGCTTGTGTATGGAATCAACCTACATGTCCATCACCAAATGAATGGACGAAAAACTGTGGCACACAAACACAGTGGAATACTATTCACCGTATAAAGGAATTAAATCCTGTTATTCGTGGCCACGTGGATCAGTCTGACAGATGTTATGTTAAGTGCAGACACAGAAAGATAAATACTGCACATTCTTACTCATGTGTGGGAGCTAAAGGAAAATTGAAGGCTGGGCAATATGGCTGATGCCTGTAATTTCCTAGCTCTTTGTAAGACCAAGGCAAGAGAATCATTTGAGGCCAAAAGTTCCAGAGCTCCCTGGGAAACATAGGGAGATATCTCTACAAAGTCAAAAATCAGACATGTGCAATGGTGCATGCCCATAATGCCAGCTGCTCAGGAGGCTGAGGTGTGAGGATCAGATGGGCCCAAGAGTTTGAGGCTGCAGTGAACTATGATCAAACCACTGTCTCCAGTCTGGGTGACTACAGTTGCCCAGAGCCAAGACTACACTAGCAAGACCCTGTCTCTTAACAAAAAAAAGCTCACAGAAGTAGGGGAGGTGAGGCTGGTTAATGGATACAGAATTACAGTTAGATAAGAGGAGTGGGTTCTGGTGTTCTGTGGCATTGTAGGGTGAATATGGTTAACTACGACTTATTGTATATTTTTAAAAAGCCAGAAGATTTTGAATGTTCACAATTCAAAGAAATGAACAATGGTTGAAGTAGTAAATGTGCTAGTTAGCTTGATCATTACACACTATATACATGTATAAAAATATCACTCTATAGCCCATAATTATGTATATATGTGTCAATTAAAACAAAAGAGAAGCTACATTCATCCCATTTAAAAAGCAGAATGTGGGCCAGCCTTACTGACTTCCTTCTAATGAGTAGAATGTAGTGAAAGGGATACCATGTGGCTTCCCTATCTCAGACTGTTTTCCCTTGGAACCCAGCCCCAATTGTGAGGGCCTGAAAGTGCCTGTGTCAGTGTTCATGCTGCCTGTCCCAACCAAGTTTACAGCCGATGGCCAGCATCAACCATCAAACAAGTGGGTGACCAAAGCTTCAGAGGATTCCATTTCCCCAACTGATCAGCTCTTCCTAGGGAAGCTGAAGGGAGCAGAGACAAGCTGTTCTGGACAAGTTTTTCCCAAACCACAGGTTCATGAACAAAATAAATGTTTTTCTTTCAAGCCACAAGACTCTGGGTAATTGTTAGAAAAATAACTTTTAAAAAGAGACAACAGGAAACATAACTTATGCAGCAGAAAAGTCTCCTTTAAAGTAGGATCTAATAAATGTTGAGATTTATTTATTGATGTCAAACATTATTGAGAAGCAGCAGATAACCAGGAGAGAGACATAAGCTGCTGAGGAGGAATTTTCCTAAAACTCCTTCAATTATGAACTCTGATAACAAGGCAAGGATGTCTCCTTACAATTTCCCCTCAAGTTAGGAAATAAGACTGGGAAGCAAGAAGATGTATGATTTGAAAAACAACTAGAAATACTTGGTGACATAGGCAAAATCAGACATTTACCTGATTTCAATTAACTAAAATTCTAAAAGAAGAAGCTTTGAGTGTTTATTAATCAACCTAGTATTCAATTTTCATTTTCTTTTCTAAATGAGCAAATAAGGAGATTATGGAATGATTTTTAGTCTTCACAGAAGTAAAATAAGCATAGTGTGTTTTGAGTGTTAAGACATCAAATGCAATTTCTCCTTTACCTTACTCCAAGCTTGTTTGTATGGAGAAGTTAAGACCATCCCATCTCTATGTTATGCCACAATGCTTCTCTATAGCACACAACTTGGCTCCGAAATTTTGAAAGTCAAAATACTAACCTACTATGTGTCTCTGATAAATTGCCTGAACATTACCTGATTTTGAAGTGCTGCACTCCTAAGACTTTTTCTTGGAATGAGTTAAACGTTTTATTCCAAGAATCCTCTACTGAGCTAGAAAGCAGAGCTGTGCATCTCTGTTTCAGTAAAAGGAGGTCAATACAGGGAACTGTGGTCTCTGAGAATGCAAGATCTGCACTAAGAAAAGGATTAGCTACAGTACTACCCAAGAGAACCAGCTACCAGGAGGAAAGAGGGTCTGTAAACTGCAAGATGATGACTTCACTTGATTTCCACTGAGGAAAGCTGGTGGTTCAGACTTAAACTTCTCCTTCCTCGATGGTAAACATCTATGGAAGGTTCTATGAATTATAATGAGTTAGTAAAACATAATGCACTAAATATTAGACTATGTCAGCAGATCCTGCGACCAAAACTTACTGAAAATATAACTATAGCGGGAGGCAATGGAAAAGAGACTAAAGGCTTGAATGGAGAAAAAAAGAAATTAAATGTGTCTTGTAAGCCTGGCGTCTGATCATGTCTTAGACGAAGTAAGGTATAAGCTGGCCAGAGACTCCTTTGTGACACAAAAGGTGAAGTTACAGATATTCCACTAAATTTAATTTTTATTATGACATAAGACAACTGGTAATATGCAACATGATTGAAAAAAACTTCTCATTCAATTCGATTGGGCTTTGACATAAGAATAGACATAAAGAAGCTAAGAATTGACAATCTAAAAATAAGCTTGCACTTTTACAGTCAATTGATTTTATACAAACTTAACGAAAGAATACAATGGGAAAAGAATAGTCTTTTCAACAAATGGTGCTGGGACAACTGGGTATCCATAAGAAAAAGTAAATAAAGTTCGACCAAATATCTTATTTAAAAATTAACTCAAAATAAAATAGTTAACTGTAAAAGCTAAAACTATAAAACCCTCAGAAGAAAACACTGGCATAAATCTTTGTGACAGCATTTGCCAGTGTTTTCTTAGCTATGACTCCAAAGGAAAAATGGATTCAATGGACTTCAAAATTGAAAACTACTGTGCCTCAGAAGACAGTATGAAGAAGTGAAAAGGTAAGACGCCAAGTAGAAGAAAGTATTTGAAAAGCGTGTATCTGATAAGGGACTTACATATATAGGAAATATAAATAACTCTTGCAATTAATAAATAACAAGATAAGCCAATTTTAAAAAATGGTAAAAGATTTTGAATAGATATATCTGCAAAGCAGATATAAAGATGGATAAGCACATTAATAGATGCTTAATGTAATTAGTCATTAGGAAAATGTAAATCAAAACCACATGTGGTATCACTTCACACCACAGGATAAAATCTTTGTTCAAGAAAAAAGAGGGTTAGAAAAAAATGTAAAGAAATTAAAACCCTTATCTAATGCTGCTGGGAATGTAAAGTGATGCAGCCACTTTGGAAAACAAACTGGCAGCTCCTTAAAGGGTTAAGCATAAAGTTACCATATGACACAGAAATTCCAGTCATAAGTATATACTCCAGAAAAATAAAAACATACACAAGCACAAAAACTCATACATAAATGTTTACAGCAGCATTATTAATAGTAGTCAAAAGGTGGAAAGAACCAGAACGTCTGTCACCTTTGGGTGGGAGAGAACCCAAAGGTCCCATCACCTGGCGAATGGATAAATAAAATGTTTGATGTATCCATACAATGGATTATTACTCAGCAATAAGAAGAAATTAAGTACAGATACCGTATTAGGAGGAGACAGCAAAATGCCTAGGCAGATACGGAAGGGTCCCCGGAGAATCTCCAACCAGCTCCACAAGTGTTTACACCAGATGTTATGTGCAGATAAGGGAAGCTGGACTTGTCTTGCCTGGACATGCCCGCAGCAGACCGGAGGCCCACATGCAGTGGGGGGATGGGGTGGAGTCACCAGGAATTCACGCCTTATGCAGAGGAGGAGCCTGGCCGCTTCAGCTCATGTGCTCCTGGTATTCAATTGTGAGGTGGAAACCTGTTTGCAGGACCCCTCTCTTTGCTGAGAGCTGTCCTTTCACATAATAAATTCTGCCCTCCTCAATGTGTCTGCATGCTTAATTTTTCCTGGTCACGAGAGAAGAACCCAGATGTAGCTGAACTAAGGAGCAAAAACCCGGCATCCATACCTGCTACAGCACAGATGCAGCATGAAAAATTATGCTAAGTGAAATAAGCCAGTCCCAGCAGACCACTTGCTTTTTATTTCAGAGGCTTATAGGCAAATCTATACAAAGAAGCTGGGTGGTTCCCTAGGGCTGAGGGAGGAAGGGAAAACTAGTGAAGATGGCTAAATGATGTGGGGTTTGTTTTTAGGGTGATGAAAATGTTCTAAAATTAATTGTAATGATGACGGCATAACTCTGAAAATACTAAAGTTAATGAATTGTATACTTTAAATGAATGAATTGCATGGTGTGTTCATTATTTCTCAATAAACCTGTTACCCCCCCACCCCGAATTAATTTGGTACTAGAGATCCGGAGATAGGTACTGCTTGGTTTCAAATCACTGGCCAGGGTTCAAGGTCTAAGAGAATCAACAACATGTCCTTTTTATAGAAAAAGAGATTTATATTTTACAAGCTATCCTTTTCATTAGTTTCAAGTCTGTAAAATTAAATGAAAAATCTTTCTTTCACTGCTTAAAGCACTGACAGATTTATATAGAGGAATAAGACCTTGTTTTCTTTGGCCCCACATTCTATCTAAAGGGTCTGGGAAACACACCCTTCAAACTATCAAATCTCATCAGATGGGTTTTATTAACACTTATAATGTGGCTTCCTTTCTAATCTGATTCTGGTGCAGCATCACAGAGAGAAGAGGCTGAAGGAAATCAAAATATTTTACCCCCAAATATATTTTTTGACGTATTTTGAAATGGCTGCTGCAGGACAAGAGATTGAAATGGCCCTCATTAAGGTAGCCCAATCTCTCCCCTTCTAGGTCTTCCCAGATCTGGGGAAGATTAACTAAGAGCCTGAGGCATTTAAAGTTTGAAAAGATATATTTACCCTCTATTTTCTCAACATATTTTGGCAGAATTTGGGTTTTTCCATTATCAATATTTTCCAAAATGCATGATTTTTAATACCAAAACTGATTTAAAATTACCATACATGGGAATATAAATTATTCTATTATAAAGATACATGCATTTGTATGTTCACTGCAGCACTATTCACAATAGTAAAGACATGGAATCAACCCAGGTGGACATTATCAGTGATAATGGGATAAAGAAAATGTGGTATATATACAGCATGGAATACTATGGAGCCATAAAAATGAATGAGATCGTGCTCTTTGCAAGGATATGGATGAACCCGAAGCTGATATCTTCAGCAAACTACTGCAGGAAGAAAAAACCAAACACTGCATCTTCTCACTTATAAGTGGGAGCTGAACTATAAGAACACATGGACTCGGGGAGGGGAACAAAAAACACTGGGGCCTGTTGGGGTCAGGAGGGAGAGCATCAACATCAATAACTAATGCCTTCAGGGCTTAATATCTAGGTGATGGATTGATAGGTGCAGCAAACCACCATGGCACATGTTTACCTATATAACAAACCCGCACATCTCACACACGTAATCTAGACCTTAAGATAATATAATTTTTTTAAAATTACCTTCTGTTTTAGCTTCTTAATCAGAATATCCATTTTCAGTTGATCTGTTTTTAAGTCTCCATGGCAACCAACGTCTTCATTTCCAAATACATTTCACATATTTATTGTCATTTCCAGGAGGCGTTTATATCTGCAGAAATGTACAGAATTAGTAAGTCAAGTATTTTTAAGAGTAAATATTTAATAATTGTTTAAATATATGTTATGGCATATCAAGGAAACAAATCTATAAACTATGTTCCTTTCAGTTTCAACTGAACATAGTTTAAAAGCATTCTATATGAAATTATAATCTTAGATAAATAATATGAAGAACAATTTTATGTCATATATGGCAGGTAAAGTGATATTATAAACATACAGTGTTTTTGTTTTGTTTTGTTTTGTTTTGGATGGAATTTCATTCTTGTTGCCCAGGCCAAAGTGCAATGGAGTGATCTCAGCTCGCTGCAACCTCTGCCTCCTGAATTCAAGTGATTCACCTGTCTCAGCTTCCCAAGTGGCTGGGATTACAGGTGTGTACCACTACGTCTGGCTCATTTTGTATTTTAAGTAGAGATGAGGTTTCACTGGTCAGACTGGTCTTGAACTCTTGACCTCAAATGATCCACCCACATTGCTCTCCCAAAGTGCTGGGATTACAGGTGTGAGCCACCACACCTGGCCTAACTGTACACTTTTTGTAAATAAACTACTCATATCCATGTTGGTATGCTAGGTAAAATAACCTATTACTAAATATAAGCCATAACCCAGAGATAAGTAACCAAGTTAAAAAAGTAAAACACATACGTTTGAAAAAGACAAAAAATACATTTTGATATGCATTGACCACAGTCTATCAGAGAAAAAAAAGTACACACAAAAAGCATCAAGGAGATCTTTCAATGTAGAAAAAGAGAAGAAAACATCTTTAATATCTGAGTTGAGGAGAAAAAGGAAACAGGCAGTTTTAGAAAAAAGGAAAGGGGCGGAGAGATGTGTGACGATTTAAAGACTTTGAAGAAGAGATCTAGACATCTTTGCTGACATAATGTCAACAAAATTAAAGAGACACAAAACCATGTAGAGAAAGGCAATGACAGAAAAATGTTGATTCGAATCAGAAAACCAAATTAAGTGCTCAGTAAATAAATAGAAAAGTAGCTGTGTTCAAGGCTTCAAAGACAGATTCCGTTGTTTTAAAAAAAATCTGTGATCAAAACATAAATGTTCATTTTACTTTTTATTCAAGTTATACATATATTTATATATATGAAATTTATTTATGTAAACAAGTTTAATAACATGTATACTTCATGTATACAACAGAGGTACTCATCTACAATGAGTAAATTTCCATGATATGTTTTATATCTAAAAGAAAGAAGAAGCAGAAACAAAATATAAGCTACATATCAAGATAAATTTGATGTTAAAGAATGACACAAACAAGTCTTCTTTAAGAAATTTGAATGCAGCAGAGGATACTACAAAAGGAAGAAAAAATGACCACAGACAGCAAAACATATCTTCAGAAATAAAAATTCAAACTAGATAATGAAGAGTGCACTGGACATTATATGTCCAAGGCTTGGTCATTGTTTTCAAAATCATGAAAGAATAAGTGGCCGGGCATGGTGGCTCACGTCACTTTGGGAGGCCGAGGCAGCAGATCACGAGGTCAGGAATTCAAGACCAGCCTGATCAACTTGGCAAAACCCCATCTCTACTAAAAATACAAAAATTAGCTGGGCGTGGTGGCACATGCCTGTAATGCCAGCTACTCAGGAGGCTGAGGCAGGAAAATTGCTTGGAGGCATAGGTTGCAGTGAGCCAAGACCGTGCCATTGCACTCCAGCCTGGGAAACAGAGCCAGACTCTTTCTCAAAAAGAAAAAAAAAATATTTTGGCATTCAAAAAAAATTTCACCTTGCCCCAGCAGCTCAGCTGACTCCCGCCCCCATGACACACATGTCTAAAAAGTTGTGCTGTGAGTTTCTGAAATACATTTTAAAATAGAATTCATTTAATTATGAAAATGCAAACTTAAAATGAATTTGTATCTAGGTTTTAGTCAAGTAAAATTAGAGTTAAATCAATTAATAAGTGGTTAACATGTTCTACAATATGAAAACCATCCATGCCCAGTTGCTTCTTCTTCTAAATCATGACTTTTCTTTCCTATTCGATCCACATTGTACTCCAGTGATGATATTAACTCAAAAAGTTTTCTTAATTCTTCATTTTTTTCTTCAGGCTTAAAAAAGTGTTTAAAATTATTTTTGTAAAATCTAGAGTCCCTCTTTTATCTCAAAAATATTATTTCTCATAAGTGGATGAGTAATATGTATTTAGGCAGGTGTATAAAGTGCATTTGGTAAACCTGATGCCAATAAGGGCAGATTTCAAAAATAGTCACTTTTCTTAAAACTGCAATAAGTGTTTCAAATTTTCATCGTTATCTTTTCTGAAATTTAAACTGCCAACAATGTTTGTTACAAATGAGGGTTTTTACACACAAAATACTAAGGGTTAGTTAAAAAAAAAGAGTAGTTATATTTACATTTTAGTTTTTAAAGATGCTCTAGAAATATTGTCTTTAATAGTTTAAGATATTCCAAGTTTTCTTAAATTACATCTTACTAAGACAATTTTTAAAAAACTCTTATCTAGTTCCCATTACATTTTTCATCCTCATCTGTCTTCAGGTTGAGTTAATACTGTCATTCTAAGTATTCACCCATAGGTTTCAGTTTTTCCCTTTCTCTTAACCATTTCTCTTTAAATAAAGTATATTTTTCCTATAATAAAACAACTTTTGTCTACTTTTTGTGGCTTTTCTATTATCCTGTTTCTCCCCTTCCATTGGACTCTATGGCACATGGTCTCATTCAGAAATCTATTTTTCATCAATTATGGTGTTTTTTATACTGAAATCTGATTTTTAATAATCCCAATAAAAAAGTCCAAGGGTCATGAAGGACTTTATTCTGCTGTACTCACCAGAGCAGTGACCAAATGCTCCCTCTGCTCCTCTGACCCCGCCTCCTTTCTAAATGCAGCGACCTGTGTTCTTCAGCCCTGTCCCTTTCTATTCCTCTGACCCCGCCTCCTTTCTAAATGCAGCGACCTGTGTTCTTCAGCCCTATCCCTTTCTATTCCTCTGACCCCGCCTCCTTTCTAAATGCAGCGACCTCTGTTCTTCAGCCCTGTCCCTTTCTATTCCTCTGACCCCGCCTCCTTTCTAAATGCAGCGACCTGTGTTCTTCAGCCCTATCCCTTTCTATTCCTCTGACCCCGCCTCCTTTCTAAATGCAGCGACCTGTGTTCTTCAGCCCTGTCCCTTTCTATTCCTCTGACCCCGCCTCCTTTCTAAATGCAGCGACCTGTGTTCTTCAGCCCTATCCCTTTCTATTCCTCTGACCCCGCCTCCTTTCTAAATGCAGCGACCTGTGTTCTTCAGCCCTATCCCTTTCTATTCCTCTGACCCCGCCTCCTTTCTAAATGCAGCGACCTGTGTTCTTCAGGCCTATCCCTTTCTATTCCTCTGACCCCGCCTCCTTTCTAAATGCAGCGACCTCTGTTCTTCAGGCCTATCCCTTTCTATTCCTCTGACCACGCCTCCTTTCTAAATGCAGCGACCTGTGTTCTTCAGGCCTATCCCTTTCTATTCCTCTGACCCCGCCTCCTTTCTAAATGCAGCGACCTGTGTTCTTCAGGCCTATCCCTTTCTATTCCTCTGACCCCGCCTCCTTTCTAAATGCAGCGACCTGTGTTCTTCAGGCCTATCCCTTTCTATTCCTCTGACCCCGCCTCCTTTCTAAATGCAGCGACCTGTGTTCTTCAGGCCTATCCCTTTCTATTCCTCTAACCCCGCCTCCTTTCTAAATGCAGCGACCTGTGTTCTTCAGCCCCGTCCCTTTCTATTCCTCTGACCCCGCCTCCTTTCTAAATGCAGCGACCTGTGTTCTTCAGCCCTATCCCTTTCTATTCCTCTGACCCCGCCTCCTTT
The DNA here is from genome assembly GCF_000001405.40 of Homo sapiens. Taxonomy (NCBI): domain Eukaryota; kingdom Metazoa; phylum Chordata; class Mammalia; order Primates; family Hominidae; genus Homo; species Homo sapiens. Next base: position 11,990 of record NT_187499.1, read on the forward strand.
CTAAATGCAGCGACCTCTGTTCTTCAGGCCTATCCCTTTCTATTACTCTGACCCCGCCTCCTTTCTAAATGCAGCGACCTGTGTTCTTCAGGTCTATCCCTTTCTATTCCTCTAACCCCGCCTCCTTTCTAAATGCAGCGACCTGTGTTCTTCAGCCCTGTCCCTTTCTATTCCTCTGACCCCGCCTCCTTTCTAAATGCAGCGACCTGTGTTCTTCAGCCCTATCCCTTTCTATTCCTCTGACCCCGCCTCCTTTCTAAATGCAGCGACCTCTGTTCTTCAGGCCTATCCCTTTCTATTCCTCTGACCCCGCCTCCTTTCTAAATGCAGCGACCTGTGTTCTTCAGGCCTATCCCTTTCTATTCCTCTGACCCCGCCTCCTTTCTAAATGCAGCGACCTGTGTTCTTCAGGCCTATCCCTTTCTATTCCTCTGACCCCGCCTCCTTTCTAAATGCAGCGACCTGTGTTCTTCAGGCCTATCCCTTTCTATTCCTCTGACCCCGCCTCCTTTCTAAATGCAGCGACCTGTGTTCTTCAGGCCTATCCCTTTCTATTCCTCTGACCCCGCCTCCTTTCTAAATGCAGCGACCTGTGTTCTTCAGGCCTATCCCTTTCTATTCCTCTAACCCCGCCTCCTTTCTAAATGCAGCGACCTGTGTTCTTCAGCCCCGTCCCTTTCTATTCCTCTGACCCCGCCTCCTTTCTAAATGCAGCGACCTGTGTTCTTCAGCCCTATCCCTTTCTATTCCTCTGACCCCGCCTCCTTTCTAAATGCAGCGACCTCTGTTCTTCAGGCCTATCCCTTTCTATTCCTCTGACCCCGCCTCCTTTCTAAATGCAGCGACCTGTGTTCTTCAGGCCTATCCCTTTCTATTCTTCTAACCCCGCCTCCTTTCTAAATGCAGCGACCTGTGTTCTTCAGCCCTGTCCCTTTCTATTCCTCTGACCCCGCCTCCTTTCTAAATGCAGCGACCTGTGTTCTTCAGTCCTATCCCTTTCTATTCCTCTGACCCCGCCTCCTTTCTAAATGCAGCGACCTGTGTTCTTCAGCCCTATCCCTTTCTATTCCTCTGACCCCGCCTCCTTTCTAAATGCAGCGACCTGTGTTCTTCAGCCCCGTCCCTTTCTATTCCTCTGACCCTGCCTCCTTTCTAAATGCAGCGACCTGTGTTCTTCAGCCCTGTCCCTTTCTATTCCTCTGACCCCGCCTCCTTTCTAAATGCAGCGACCTGTGTTCTTCAGCCCTATCCCTTTCTATTCCTCTGACCCCGCCTCCTTTCTAAATGCAGCGACCTGTGTTCTTCAGCCCTGTCCCTTTCTATTCCTCTGACCCCGCCTCCTTTCTAAATGCAGCGACCTGTGTTCTTCAGTCCTATCCCTTTCTATTCCTCTGACCCCGCCTCCTTTCTAAATGCAGCGACCTGTGTTCTTCAGCCCTGTCCCTTTCTATTCCTCTGACCCCGCCTCCTTTCTAAATGCAGCGACCTGTGTTCTTCAGCCCTATCCCTTTCTATTCCTCTGACCCCGCCTCCTTTCTAAATGCAGCGACCTCTGTTCTTCAGGCCTATCCCTTTCTATTCCTCTGACCCCGCCTCCTTTCTAAATGCAGCGACCTCTGTTCTTCAGGCCTATCCCTTTCTATTCCTCTGACCCCGCCTCCTTTCTAAATGCAGCGACCTGTGTTCTTCAGGCCTATCCCTTTCTATTCCTCTGACCCCGCCTCCTTTCTAAATGCAGCGACCTGTGTTCTTCAGCCCTATCCCTTTCTATTCCTCTGACCCCGCCTCCTTTCTAAATGCAGCGACCTGTGTTCTTCAGGCCTATCCCTTTCTATTCCTCTGACCCCGCCTCCTTTCTAAATGCAGCGACCTGTGTTCTTCAGGCCCATCCCTTTCTATTCCTCTGACCCCGCCTCCTTTCTAAATGCAGCGACCTGTGTTCTTCAGCCCCGTCCCTTTCTATTCCTCTGACCCCGCCTCCTTTCTAAATGCAGCGACCTGTGTTCTTCAGCCCTATCCCTTTCTATTCCTCTGACCCCGCCTCCTTTCTAAATGCAGCGACCTGTGTTCTTCAGGCCTATCCCTTTCTATTCCTCTGACCCAGCCTCCTTTCTAAATGTAGCGACCTGTGTTCTTCAGCCCTGTCCTTTTCTGGTTTTTTGTTTTGTTTTTGTTTTTTGTTTTGAGATGGAGTCTCCCACTGTCACCCAGGTTGGAGTGCAGTGGCATGATCTTGGCTCACCGCAACCTCCACCTCCTGGGTTCAAGCGATTCTCCTGCCTCAGCCTCCCTAGTAGCTAGGATTACAGGCATGTGCTACCATGTCCAGCTAATTTTTTGTATTTTTAGTAGAGACAGGGTTTCACTATGCTGGTCAGACTGGTCTTGAACTCCTGACCTCATGATCTGCCTGCCTTGGCCTCCCAAAGTGCTGGGATTACAGGTGTGGCCCACCATGCCTGTTGGCTAATTCTCTTTTTAAATTCTCTCAGGACTCCTTAAATCTCAAAACTTTGACCTAGATTCCCAAATCTACATTTCCAGCTCTGACCATTTTCTTGAGGTCTCTTCCTTCTAGTACACATATTATAGACAATATTCTCAACCACATGCTCATACATTGCTAATTGGTGCAGATTACTTTTGTAGATAGTGAATCTTGTCTATTTTATGTTGGTTCTCATTAATGTTACTTTGAGTATACTGTTATTGTCTAATCTCAAAGGGGGACTATCTCACTGTTATGATACTAACCAGTATACTTTGTCCTTTTTTTCTTGCTTTCTTCTTTTTTGGACCAGTATACTTTGTCCCTTTTTTGTTTTTCTTTTTTTCTTTTTTTTTTTTTTTGAGATGGAGTCACACTGTGTCATCCAGGCTGGAGTGCAGTGGCACCATCTTGGCTTACTGCAACTTCCACCTCCTGGGTTCAAGTGATTCTCCTGCCTCGGCCTCCCAAGTAGCTGGGACTACAGGTGCACACCAACACACCTGGTTAATTTTTGTATTTTCAGTAGAGACAGGTTTTCACTATGTTGTCCAGGCTGTTTTTGAACTGCTGACCTCAGGTAATCCACCCACCTCAGCCTCCAAAAGTGTTGGGATTACAGAAGTGAGCCACGGCACCCAGCACTCTTTTTCTTTTATAATGAAAACTTTCCCATGAGAATCAGATTATCAATTGTTTGCCTTTATTTTCTTTTAAAGAAATTCCTTTTCCATAGAGATGTGGCATGATGAAAGTCTTGTTCTAAAGTTTCTTTTGGGGGACACTTAACTATGTCATTGGGAAGCTTCAGTAAGTAGAGATCTCCCTTCTTCTCACTCAATATTCTTCATCTCAAAATGGTGTCCACCAAATGTCTTAATCCAGGTAGTCTCTTGTTTAGAAGTTCATGAAATAAGAACCTTCTCAAGAAGTTGGAGGCTATTGATTGAGATGGTTTAAAGCTGCCCCTTATTATATGTTTTACTCCCAAGGTAGACATCAAAGTGGCTAATAATTCTATGACTGATGTCTAACTCACTTCTATGGGAATCTATAGAAAATGTTTTATTTATGAGACAGAGTCTCCCTCTGTTACCCAGCCTGGAGTGCAGTGGCTTGATCACCGTTCACTACAGCCTCAATATTCCAAGCTCAAACGACCCTCCTACCACAGCCTCCCAATGTAGCTGGGACTATAGGCATGCATCACCATGCCTCAGCTAAGTGTTTAATTTTTTTTTTTTTTTTTTTTTAGAGACCGGGTCTCACCATATTGCTCTGGCTGGTTTCAAACTCCTGGGCTCAAGCGATCCTCCTGCCTCAGCCTTCCAAAACCAGGTGTTTAACTTGGGACTAACATGAAGCACTTAGAAGACTACGTGGAACATAGTGAGCTACATAAAATATTTGCTATTAGCATAATAATTTTATTGCATATCTTAACAAAATTGTGTAAGTTAGGCAGGTGGCATGCCAATGGAAGTATTCTCCTATAGCTGCACTGAATCATTCTTACCACTGAGAGTTGCAGCAAATGGGGGACATAATTTATAACTTACTTTTCTCTCTGTATGACTCATTAGGCAATGACTATATATGTACTACAACGTAAACAGCACCTCCTGGATTGAATAGAACATAACTGACATGACCAGCAGAGACAGGCTAAAGACACTGAGCTGAAAACCCTGGACTCTATTGCTAAATTGAGGCTCCTGAATCCGTTCGCTCTGAGCAACTGTTGCTGTGGTGCTGCCTTCACAAGCACTCTGCTGAGCACTCAGATAGAGGGGCTGTGCTATCCATCAACAGACAAGCTGCAGCCAGAACTGCTCAGCTGACAAACTGGTAGAGGTCCAGAAACACAGTTCTGCTGCATAGTGAAAAAAGGCCAATTTAGATTCTTTTTCATAGAGAGAAAAACATAAACATGTGATTGAACGAGTCTCCTGTATTAGACTAATTGGGTTGGCTTTGATATTTAATTGCTAAAAATACACTTAGAATATAAACCTTACTGTGTCAAGGTCTCAAAGAAGAAATAATTGGTATGGTATAAAGAAGTATTGAATTCTATGCTACAAACTTCTAAGCTAAAATATTTTCAATGTATGCAAGGATAGGTGACATACATATTATATACTATTCCCCCATTAAGCAAATTTATAATGAGAGAAAATTATCTTCCATAAAAAAATAAAAGCCATGTAAAATTAAGGACTAAGTTTTTCTGCACAGACTAGACAACGATTGCTAACACATAAGGTCAACGAGAGAACAGTCAGAGAAAGCTTCATGAAAACAATAAATTGTCTGCCACGTCTGAGTGAATGAGGCTAGATGAACAGAAACTGAGAAGGCAGAAAGGATAGCATGAGCAAGACAAGTGCTGAAATCTGCCCAATTAACTCTGAGGATAAAGTCCAATGGCAGGGAAATAAAAACCCGTGTCCACATAATAACCTGTAAGTGAATGTTCGCAGCAGCATTGTTCATAATAGCTAAAAAGTGGAAACTAACTTAAAGGTCCATCAACTGATGAATGAATGGAAAACCAGTATAGCCATGGAATAGTACATCATTTAACTATAAGAAGAAATAAACTACTCATGTGTGCTAAAACATGCATGAATTCTGAAAGCATTATGCTAAGTGAAAAAGCCAGTCACAAAGGACTACATATTGTATAACGCTATGTATACGAAATATACAGAACAGGTAAATATATGGAGACAAAAGTAGATAGATGGTGGTTGCCTACAACAGGGGTAGGTGGAGGGACATGGAGGAAGGCTGCAGTCATGCCTAGGAGATGTGGGGTTGCTTTTCAGGGTGATGAAAATGCTGTGAATATACTAATAGATACTCAGTTGTACATTTTAAATGGTTGAACTCTCTCAAATGTGAATGATATCTCAGTGAAACTGTTTTTAAAATCCAAAGGCAGGATCAAGATAATTTTCTCAACTCTCAATTTTTGACTTACATGCTATATCAAATCTAAATATTTTTAGAGTTTTATAGTATATTTTAAATTAAAGATAAAGAAAATGCCTAAATTTTCAAATAGTTTGTAAATTAACCTAAAACATGCACATTTCAAAGAATAGTATAATGGCCTTTCTGTACAAGTTAACCTGCAGTCTGTGAAATAAATAGACACAGATTCTGTGTCCATTCACGAAAGTGAAGAAATAAGACAACTTTCTGGAACTTTCCATGAAATATTCTCCTCTGATTTAATCTGGCCTGCCTCATCAGAACAATACAAAAATTACTTAAAAATACTGTTTTTACAGGAAAAAAGTCAGTTTTCTATGAGGAATGATATATAATTCTCCACTTTTCCAAGGGTACATATTGTAACAGAAAAGGTATGTAATGGTTTTTCAAAATGGTAGAATGAAAGTCACAATATAAAAAAATAAGTACATTATAAAGATAGTAAAATGTAAATAATTCATTGTAATGAAACTAAAAAATCAAGCTTCTGCCAAAATTAGTATCCTAAAACACGTTATATAAACTCAACTAGCTACAGAATAAGAGTTGACATGTTAAATTCCATACACACTTGACTTTTCACTTGAAATAATTTCTTCTTTGGGGCCTGTGTCTCATCCAAATTAATGTGATAATGTGACATACCTTCCAGTGGAGACTCTAACGTAGTTAATTTTTTTAGGCTGTCAGCCGCTTCTTGTTGAAGTTGTCTCACAACCACCTGAGAAAATATTTTTGTTACTGATTTTATAAATTGCCTTATTATTAAATTATGTTAATAATATTTAACTCCCTGCCAAATTGGTATTCTCTTACTTACACAACAGGTTCATCCCACCATTCAATCATCTTAGAAGCTCAACTCAACCTCAAAGTGACTAACATATTCAATCACCTTTTCAAATCCTTCCAACAGATTCCTATCTCAGGATAAAAGTGAAATTCCAATGGCCTTTGAGGCCCTAGGTAAACAGTCCTCTACCTCCCTCTCTGACTTCAAAGCTCCTACAACTCCTTCCTGTAATTACTCCATTCCCACTGTACGTGAAGCCTGCCACCCCTCAGTCTGAAAATGGGGATCTAATGCCTTACTCATAAATCACAGGCAGCTACAAGTATCTTTGTACTGAACAAAATTATATTCCAATGATAGTCATTGAGCCTTGAAATAAAAATTATGAGCTAATTATTAATATAAATAGTCAAAGTAAACTATAAATACCAGTGGCAAAACTAAATCAAACATAGTTTTGTTAATTATTACATTCATTCTAAATTATGATTTTATGACATGTAGGTGCCTTTACAACATTACGTAGTCATAAAAATATGTAATTTGAAGTATTTTCAGATTTTTAAAATTAATATGAATAATAACAAAGATATACCAAAAAAAAAAACACATAAAAAGCTACTTAAAGCAAGGTATTACAAGACACAGCAATACACTTCAGTTCATCTGGGAAGTCTAGAATTAAGTGTCGAAGGAAATCACTTAATTAAATTTTAATTTGAAAATACTCATTTCAGGTGTAAACATTTCCATTTATACCTACATTATGGTCTTAACATGTGGCAACATAAAGTCATTAAAATTATTTCAGCAGTACAGAACTATCTATCTTAAAATATGACTCTGTGCCTAATAAAATTTCATAGGTGACACAATGTCTTTTCTCAAAGTAAATCATCTCTCATCTCTACCTTTTATTTCCTAGAAATGAGGCATGTTTCTAAGCTGATATAGTAAACACATTTTTCCTTTTTTTATTAAAACAGCTTTGTTGAAATATAATTTACATACTATAGAATGTATCTGTTTTAACTTAAAGTTAAAAGATTTTTAGTCCATTTACTGAGTTGTGCAGCCATCTCTACAATCCAACTTTACAGCATTTCCATCACTGCAAGATCCCTCATGCCCATTAGCAGTCACTACCAGCTTCTAGTCCCAGCCCTTTGCAAATATTAATCTACTTTTTGTCCCTATACGTTTATCTTTTCTGGATGCTTCACGTACATGGAATTATACAGTATGGTAAACACACTTTTTATCTATTGATTTTTATATTCAACTAAGTTCAACATGTATCCAGAACCAAATGTTTAAATTTTCTTTCTAGAAGTTTGAAAATATTTATCTTCCTTGATACTTACTACTCTTTCTGCTTTCTCTCTCTCATATTGAAAGAGACTTTCTTTTAAATGATCACATTCATTCATTACCTTCTTATTTTTCTCTTCTAGCATGAGGTCTTTCCACTCTCAATAAAGCTTCTTTGGATATTAGTTATTATCTCTTTATGATACTCTTTCTGATGAACATCATCTAGTTGCTGTTCAATGCACGGATTTTCATGTTGGAGTTGACATATTCTCTCTTCTACACAGCTCCACTTTCCAGTGGAATTATTCTCTTTAGCTTCTGCATTTTCATACATCTCTTTCATTTCCTTTATTTGCTGCTGTGTTTGGCTTAGGTTGTTATGTACAGTTTCTAAAGCCAATAACTTTTTTCTGAGAGTATCTCTTGTCTTACGGAACTTATCTTTTAAGGTATTGAATTTAATTTGTGGTTTAGAAAGTTGTTCAGTAAGAAACTCATTCTTATCTTCTACTTCGGAAATATCAGAACTCATTTTTACTTGTACGGAAACATCTTGAGTTCTCTCTAAAGCAAGTTTTAGGTTTCTTTCTGTTTTCACACTTTCACTGTGTTTACTTATAGAAGCAGCCAGTCTAGACTGATAAGATTCAGTTTCAGCTTCCAGTCTTTTGTTGCTTTCTTCTTCCTTCAACAGTCCGGAACTGAGCCTTGTATTCTCAGCTTTGAGATCATTAAGCTCTTGTTGATACCGGAATGCTGTTATTGTTATCAATTCCTCATTGAGTTTTATATACTTTTCAAGGACAGCATTTGTTTCTTTAACAATTTTAACTTCCTTAAGTTATTTATTTTCTTTTTCCAGGTTGTCATTTTTCATTGTGCACATTTCCTGTCTGAATATAGCAATATCTGTATTCAAAATGCAATTTTAATCCATCAGATCTTTCATTTCTTCATGATTATGAAAATCCTAAATAAAACTAAAGAAAGTTTTAGCTAGTACTCAATAAAATATCGTGATTACCTCTGAAGTTAAAGAATAACCTGCACATCCATACACTAAAAAGGTTACTGTAAGTGGATATCCAACTGGAGACAAAGTTGAAGCAACACTTTGAACCTTATAGAGCATAAATTCCAAAAAGTTCAGAAATTTATTTAAAGTCAATGAATTTATAAAAGTAAACACACACACACACACACACACACACACACACACACACAAACCAGAGAATTTTTAAGAATTTCAGAATTGGAAAAGCCTTTCCTTGAATTACAACAAACTGAAAAGCATAAATTAAAGCATTAACAAATTTGACTAAATTAAAATATATCAAAAAATTGCATTTACACTTTGATATCTAACCCATACAACACCCTATAGTAAGAACCTTGGTTCACACGTATTTGGACAGATAAAATTTCCCAGAGTTATTACAGTTCTGTTTTGCTGATAACATTCTATTTCAATTTGACTCTTTTAACACTTTTATATTCAGTCGTAAGAATTACATTTACTAAATCATAAATCTAGACATTATACTAGTCACTCCTATATACATTCATTGATGAACTCATCTAGTTATCACAATTTTGAAAAAGAAATGTTAAAAATATAAGCAAGCTACAGGATTTTCCCCAGGACTTCTGACTCTACTTCTAGTTCTCTGACATATCACAGTTACTTCTGTGGTGTAAATATATCCATATGGAAGAAAACTTTTATTTCAAAACACCAATGGTAAATAAGATAAAATTTATAGAGCTCTTCTTAGAATATCATGAGATTATTTGTGATTGCAATAATTTGTTTCCTCTTTATAATATTAGGTACAGTAATCAATATGAAATAGGGGAAAGTACAAGGAACAATTTTACTGGGAACAGAATCTTTATCAATAGGTTATCACTAAGTATATACTATGGCATATTATTGTTTTCAAAAGCTCTTTGTTATAAAATAATATCTTATGTGGATGCCAAGATTTATAATAAATATTAATAATTGTACCTGTAAGTGGCATCATTCATTTTTTAAAAATGAGATAACATTTCTGGTTTGTTTTAGACCTAAATATTATATATTAAATCAAGAGAATATTAGAAGAAACTTTCATACAATAGTTTAAAATATAGAATTTTTACCAAAGATTGATTTATCTGATTTGGAGTATTTCTTGCAGTCTTTGTTTTCATCTCTAGTGATTGAACAGTTGGTTCAAGTTGCTTTGCTTCAACTTCTTTCTTATGTTGTTTCTCTTTCCTTTCTAATTCTTCTCTATTTTTTTGTACAGCATATTAACATTTGTTTTTTCTTTATTTTCTTATCTTAAGATGCATCTGCAGATAAAGACATTTATCTTAAAACTCATTTTGTTAAAAAATAAAGAGTTCATCCTGTGATCTACCTCTGCAGATGCTCTTTATCATCCTAATAAAATTTCTGTGTTCTGAATTATTTTTCCTTTTTAGTTCTCAGATATTTAATCTCTCACTTCAACATCTTCAAAAGAATGCATATACTTGAAAAGTAGTAAGGAAAGAATATTCTGCTGAAGTTTTTGTTACTAGTCACTCTAGCATATATTATAAAAAAGGATACTGGAGATAATTCAGTATAGTTAGAATTTCAAAATTACCTTTTCAAATCACACAGTCATAATTACTCCCCGATTAGAAAAGGTCATTTACAATCAACTAAATTTTTAAAGTTACTATTTATTGACAAGCGTATAAGTTCACTAGAAATAAATTTTCATCTTTATGAAATATTGCAGGTGTCTCTCCAAATGATTTACAGAGTAAGATGTCTCTCACACAAACTATATCTGCAGATGATTGTCAACTAAAACTAGGCTAAAGGGTCTAACATCTGTTACCCCACACTTTTTATAATTCTTTCTTAATACTTCCAATTCACCTTCTTATTACATATATTTTATGTATTTATTAAGCTATTGTTCATTATGTGTAATATATAATTAATGCCCTTAATAAGTGTATGTTTACACAAGTTATGTTTTCCTGTGAAATCTAGTCCCAGAAGTGGAGTTGTTGAGTTAAAGGGATGTCAGGTTATTTGAAATTTTGATACACAGCACTAAGTTACCCTTCAGAAATAATTTACCAATTTCATATACCAACAGTGTATGAGAATGCCTTTTTCCTCACATTTGCCAATGGTAGTAATTACTTTTTCAATACCAGCATGACTTTACAAAATATATCTTATTTTATGTTAATTTGCACTTTTCTGATTACCAGGCAGGGCTAAATATCTCTGGTGAAAATATAAAACTTGTTAATCATAAGGAATATTAGTCCAATTTTGAATTAGTTTATAGCACAATGACAATTGTCTGCTGCGAAATACTGCTATAGGTGGCCAGGCACGGTGGCTCACTCCTGTAAACCCAGCACTTTGGGAGGCCGAGATGGGCAGAACGCCTGAGGTCAGGAGTTCGAGACCAGCCTGGATAACATGGTGAAACCTCATTTCTACTAAAAATACAAAAAGTTAGCTGGGCATGGTGGTACACGCCTGTAATCTCAGCTGCTAGGGAGGCTGAGTCAGGAGAATCACTTGAATGCAGTAGGCATAGGTTGCAGTGAGGTGAGAACACACCATTGCACTCCAGCTTGGGCAAGAAGAGAGAAACTCCACCTCAAAAAATAAATAAATAAATAAATAAATAAATAAACACTGCTATAGGCTTACTTACCTATGATGCTCTTCCTTCAGCTTCTTGGTAAAAGGCTGAGGATAGGTTTTCCCAATATTTCTTTGTTGGGTTAATCTGTCAGCAGCAGCAGCAGATGTACTATGACATACATTTTCTGATAGTTGTATTTTTTCACTTTTGTTTGTATTATTTCCTTCTTTGACCTTTAACAAAAGTAATATGAATAATAATTATTATTTTATTCAATAAAAAGAAGTTTTTCCCTGATTTTTTCACTTGATTCAGGTTAACTATCACCGTTTTAATGATAAAAATATTTTGTGCTTACTTTAATTTTATCATTATACATAATTATTATAATTATAAGATACTCATCATTTTATCATTGAAATTTTTGTCAAGTCTGCTCATTTCTGTTTGAGTGAATAGAAGAATTTTCCAAAATTTCAAAAAGGACTCTTCTCCATTTTGTGCTTTTATTCCCATCCACTCTTTGCTATCTGATATAAATATTTATGTTATCTGACTGGCAGAAACAGAGAAATAAAAAGACACAGGCATAACATATATCTTCTGTCATTGCCACCTGGATTTTACATGAAATAGCCAGATTAAGAGGATGTGACCTTGTAGGGCTTCAGGAACAGTAAAGAAGTTTTCCCTTTTCTACACTGAGCTATTCTTTTCCCCACTGCCTTTTATCTCTTTTTTTTTTAATTCTGGGATATCAAAAAAGTGAAAGTTCTCCCTGAACTATGGGAACCAAAGTTTGCCACAACACAAGAAGCAGAGTGAAACTGCTGTGTTTCCAGTGCAGAATTCTGGAAAACGACATGCTTCCCAGATTTCACATTCAATTATCAGAAAAGTTTATAGGTGGAAAACATACGGTACAGTTATCTACTTTAGCCCCATTATCTACTGAAAATGGGAGTCAAACTAACAAAGACATATGAAATGTTTCATCGAGAGCTCTTGAGGTGGCATTCTCTAGCATTTCATGGCACCAAATAACATGATACAATTCCATATTGCTGAATTACATAAATTACCAAATAAATTTATCAAATTAGTCAGATATATTAAAAGTCTAAGTTGAGCAAAGCAATTTAACGCCTCAGAGGGTGGAAAAAGGCCTCATCTGCTTTTACTTTGAAGAAGAAAATCTCTAGATTTTGTCTATCTTTAGGACACAATGTACAGAACTCAACTTTCTACTAAAGAATCAAAGGATAAATTTTTATCTAAGAAATTATGCTTCTTACATGATAAAAATCACACATGCCAAAACTTATGATACTTTATTAAACAACATAATGTAAGGACTGATTCAACAGAAATATTGGAGTGGTGATTTTTTAAAATATGTGGAAGTATATATTTGTTTTCAAAATATTGGAAATAACCATGATGGAACTATAAGTTCAAACAGTTTGAGCTAAGCAGATGAACTTGCATGCATGAAAATACATTAAACAGACTCATTTGGCTGGGAATATTCATAGCAACTCTCAAGGCTAGACGTGTTTTTGTGGCTCGTCTCAGTCATTGCTTTCCTCCCATTGTATTCCCATTCTATCATTAAATAAATGTAATTCATCTCTAAATGAATACAGAAAAAAGAATCTAGAATCTAAAGCTTATTTCTTTAGCAATTTCTTTATGTTGATCTCATTCAGAAGGTCACGTGGTATATGGCTGAATTAGTTTCCCAGCTCATATGCCACTTGGAAGACTGAGAGTGAGACTTAGGTTGATTAATGAAGAAACATTATGAGAACATTCTCCAGAACCATTGTTTAGATAGCAGGACTAATCTACTTTGACACATAATTACACATTTAGAAAACCCCGCTGTAACTGTACACATGAGATTTTCTTGAATAGAAAATTTGACTAAATCATATAATTGATAAAGAGAAAAAAGAAGCAGCAAGTGAACCTCTGTCTTTTTGAAGTTGGACTTTCTGTTTCTCCAAAGCCAGGAGCTCTACTTGTAACATGCCTACCTCATTCTTTTTACTATTATTATACTTTAAGTTCTGGTACATGTGCACAATGTGCAGGTTTGTTACATATGTATATATGTGATATCTTGGTGACCTTGAAATATCTTGCTGTAAGTCTTCTAGCTATATTTTTGATGTTCTCTCACTATGTGGCAAAGAATAACCCGCATTTTATAGTTCAAGATTCATGGTTTTGTAGTTATTAACACTGGGATTGTCATACAGCGGCTTCTGGAATAAGCACTGTGTTGGTTTTCTGTTTTTATAAGTATCTGTAGCAGCAGAAATACTGTGACTTTCTATCTGAATCATATGCTTCATTTCTTTGGGGTGGGTAAACCACAAATCAAAAAGGCTTTCTGGATCTCTAGACTGAGACCAATGCCTAATTTCCAATTAGTGGTATTTGGGTTTATATATTTTTCCATTTGCATGTCAAACTCTTAATCATCTTTCATTTCAATCATAATTACTGGGTTCCTTACTTTTTCAGTTTCTATATCATAACAAAAATTTCCATCATCTGTGTTAGAAACAAGCTGTGTGTCTGGTTTGTTATCATTTTTATAGTCTGATTTATTTTAAATTAAATGAAGCTTAGAAGATGACTGGTAAGTGTATTTCAGGGACCTGGAGTGTGAATGGAATAAAAAGACATTTGACATGGGCTTCCTCTGTTCAGGCGCTGCCTGGACTGCCACAGAGCTAGACCCTCCAGATACATTTTTCTCCTCACAATCAGGGACATGATTCATCAGACTAGAGGGCACTCCTTTTTTGTTCATCCCTCTTTAGAGTTACCATGTAGGAGCTCTTCCTCAGGGCAAGTAGTAATTTTGGAGTTTTCAGAACTTTTACCAATATTCAGCTTGAACTTGTTTGTAATGAATTTTAAAGAAAGTCATGAATATATAGATTGATTCCCTTTATCACTGTTCTTACCCAGTTCTGGTTCTTGAGACTTTTTTTGGTGGGGGGCAGGTGCAAAATGGAAAACAAATTTGCTTGTTTTGTTTCTCAGATGTCTTTTCTGTCAGAGTGCATGTTTTAAAATTAGCTTTAATCAAGTATAAACAAAGAAATATTAGAAAATAATTAAAATTTAACTGTGAAACTTAATCTATGTGTTGCTACTCTTAAATTATGGGATTGTAACTAAAAAGTGAAAAATAATTTGCTTTGGCTTAACATAGGACAGAAACATGAACCAGCAAGCTGAACTCTCACTGTCTGTTTGGACTAAACTTAATGCATTTGTGTAAAATCTACCAGAAATGAATTCAAAGATGATAGGTAGTATTATAAAAGCTTCCTCTCTTACAAAGACTTTACCTCAGCATACCAGAAAGAGTGAGCCCCTACAGTGCATGTTTATTTCTGAAGATTAACTAGAGCACTAGGCAAACACTAAATTATTAAGAGCTAAACTGAACACCAATAAGAAAGAGAAGTAAAATTTTAAATTCTAATTCAAATGATATACTATGATAGTGTTATGTATCTAGATAGAATTTCTGCTTATATCCACTTCTAATATATTTTAAGTTCCAGTAGTGATAGGGTTTGGATTTTTAAAATTTCAGTAATGTTTACTATGTATTTATGTTGAAATAAAGTTATTGTTCACACCCTGACACCAAAGGTCCCATTCTGCAAGGTAGGATTCTCTTAATAGGCAACTGCATTGACTTTTATGACCCCATTCACTCCCTGAACACAGACACAGAAGTCAACTGGTGACCACAAAACAGAATAAATCTTTAACCTCGGCACTGGTGACCAGCAATATAAAACTGCAACATTTGAAGCACTGGCAATGATGACTCCTTTAACACTAGTTTAACTCAGTGGCCATTGTTGTTAAACTGTTCATAATTTATATTCCTCAGTAATATGACCCAATACTTCATGTTACCTTGTGTATTATGAGTAAGGTTATATAAATAAAACAGCAAGATAATTCTGAAAATTTCTTGCCTCAATTCTAAGGGTAAATACAGCTATGAATTACTAGAGATACTAAGAATTACTAGAATAACTAATAGTTACTAGAGATAGTAAGAATATCTTAAGTTTCATAACTGGTTAAGATGTTTTAAAAATTAAATATAAAATTATGATCTATTGGATTCTAAAGGTATAGTCTGAAAGGTCATGTCATTTGGACTATGCTTTGTTAGTAAAGCAAAAAAAACCCCTAATATTAAACAAGAACTTAAATTTTCATATACCTGTGATTGCTTCTTTTCACTTCTTTCACACCTTTCTTGCTCTTCCTCTAAAGCCACTGGTAAGGTTTGTTCTGTTGACAAAGTCATTGATTTAGTTCAAATGAACTAAGAAGAGTTAGATAAGGACTATAATCTTTATAAAAATAAATAGAGAATAACATTTCTTTGTATTTTATATTTTGAGAGTTTGAATGAAACAATGTTTACTGAAATATTTACTTCTGTAAGAAATACTTCTAATTATCCAAAACTTCAACAAACCACTTGGGGAGACACCAGATATCACCAGATTCAAGCCATGTAAAATCTCAGGGTCACTCACAAATTGTTCCACCCAACATAAGTCAACAAAACTGTTGGAAACAAAACAGAAATTTGAAATACAGTCAAAATATACAACGTAATGCTTTATTATACTTCATAACAGTATCTTTTTAACAAGACACTAATTGAGTTGGCAGTTACTAATAATTTGCAAAATTATTGTTGTTTATACCTCAATTAGTGTGCACCCCATTTTTTACATCACAAATGTTTTCCCCTGCTATTCTGAAAAATTTATTTTCATCTTTTAAGACTCAGAAAGTAGGCTGGGCATAATAGCTCACATCTGTAATCCCAGCACTTTGGAAGGCCAAAATGGGAGAATCGCTCAAGGCCAAGGGTTTAAGACCAGCCTGGGAACCATAGGTAACCTTGACTCTACAAAAAATTAGACAGGTATGGTGATATGTTCCTGTTGTCCCCGCTACTCAAGAAGCTTAGATGAGAAGATCCCTCGAGCCCAGGAGTCTGAGGTTTCAGTGAGTCTCAATCATGCCATTGCACTCCAATCCTGGGTGATAGAGTAAGAACTTGTCTCCAAAAAGAGGAAAAAAAAAAGGCTCAGAATGCTATGTGAAATCTTCCTTGATTCTAGGTATCTTTCTCCACACACACAGGTGTCTGCTTCGTTGGGGTCCCTTAGTACCTTGTCAATTTTTCTAGTGTCACTTTACCACCTGACCTGCACATCATGTCTTTACATGTTGACCCCTTTGCTGCTAGACTGTAGAGGATAATCTTTTGAATCATCTTTGTATAAGCAGTCTTAATTTTGCTAAATAATTACTTATTGAGTTCCTGCTAAGTGTTAGGCACTGGGGAATAAGGAAGGAAAATAGAAGCTGTCAGGGATGGCTTTCCTAAAGATCATCCATGAGCTGAGACTTAGAGAGTGAGGTTAGCCAGATTAAGCGAGGCAGAGGGCAGGAAAGGGTGAGCACATGCCAGGCAGCAACAAGAGAGGAAGAGAAGCCTCCAAGAGCGTATGTATTTCTCTGCAGAAGAGGAATGGTGAGGGGGCCATTACCAGCAGCTCAGTAATTCCAGAGAAAAAGGCAGATGGGGAAAGGGATACAGATGGAGATTTGGGCAGAAATCAGTTTCCTTTTCTTTTCTTTTTTGGGACAAGGTTATACTCTGTCTCCCAGACTGGAGGGCAGTGGCATGATCTCAGCTCACTGCAACCCGGCCTCCCAGGTTCAAGTAATTCTCCTACCTCAGCCTCCTGAGTAGCTGAGATTACAGGCGCGTGCCACTACCACCTGCTAATTTTTGTATTTTATTAGAGATGGGGTTTCACCTTGTTGGCCAGGCTGGTCTTGAACTCCTGATCTCAAATGATCCACTTGCCTCAGCCTCCCAAAGTGCTGGGATCACAGACATGAGCCACCGTGCCCAACCCAGAAGTCAGTTTCTGAAATCCTTATATAAACCTTTAAGATGCTTAGACATTAGGTATTCAGGAGTGATTCACGGATCTATTTGCATTAGGGATAATTCACTCTAAATACTGTGAGGAGCATAAAATTCTGAGGCATATAAATCAATGAACAAAGATAAAATATAAGGCAATGTTGCAAAGATGATGCAGGCCTGAGGAGATGTTTTCAGAAATATTTAGGATATAGGTATCAGTGGCCATTATAAGAATGAATTTCTATTGAATAAATAAATGTATATATCTCGGTCCCTGGAGAAATACACTCTGCTCATTACTTTACAAATTTTATCAATCAAATGAGAAGTAAAGTAATATACATAAACTCTTTCAGTTACTTGTATTTACTTTACCCTTTTTCTGTTTCAGTTTTACTGTGCCAAGGAAATGCATTTGGGTTTTGTGGTGGTTGTTGTGGTTGTGGTTGTGGTTGTGGTTGTTTTTGTTTTTTGAGATGGAATTTCACTCTTCCTGCCCAGTCTGAAGTGCAGTGGTGTGACCTCAGCTCATGGCAACCTCTGCCTCCTGGGTTCAAGCGATTCTCCTGCCTCAGCCTCCCAAGTAGCTGGAATTACAGGCATGTGCCACCATGAACAGCTAATTTTGTGTTTTTAGTAGAGATGGGTTTCTCCATGTTGGTCAGGCTGGTCTCAAACTCCCAACCTCAAGTTATCTGTCCGCCTCAGCCTCCCAAAGTGCTGGGATTACAGGCACTAGCCACCGCACCCAGCAACATATGGGGATTTTGTTTTAAAAGTTCTGTTCCCTGGATCTACCAAGCTCATGAGAAAATAGAGCAAACAAGTCATTTGCATAGGTAAGAAACTTTGGATTTATAGCTTGTCCTCACTACTCTAGAAGATTATCATCATGTTTTGCAAAGCAAAATGTTAAACACAGACATAAGGGGAAAAAGAAATTAAAACTATAGGGGTGGGTGAAAAAATATTGCATAATTTATTACTGTTGACCTCATCATATGACTGATTAAGGGCACTGAATTTAACTTGGATGTGAAGTAGACCTCATATTAGCTGCAGTTAATCAGTAGACCAGGCGTCCTAGCAGAATTAAATTTGATGCTCCTGTGTTATCTTTAAATGACACAGCTTTTCTGAAAACCCTTACTCATAGTGCGTGATTATCCATTAAGAAAAGGTGATGGAATATGTGAATACAGCTGAGGAGACACCACAAGGCAAATGCTCAGTGGTTCCCATTAATATTGGGAAAATCAACACTATAAAACAGAAAGCCATAGACATTATTTAATATTTGGTTTTGGGAGGTATTTTTAGTGACACTGCATACAGTTGTACCTAATAATTGCTAAATTAGAGACGTAAAAGTAAAACAAAGGCACATTGTGTTTGAGTAGGAAATCTATAGACATCTAGCTGGTTTTCCCATCCAGCCACAAAATTCTAAATATAATCATGGTACCTGTACTCAAATTTATGTTAAATACCAACCTCAATGAAATCACTCTTTCTTCTCATTCCCTTTCTTATTTATATGTTGCTTTCCTTAAGGGAAGAATACAAATGCCTTGCTAAGAACCATTCTGTTTGGTTGTAGGCTGCATAAGGGGAGTGAACACAAAGTATATTTGACCACAAAATGACTCTTTAAAAGTCAGAACTATGGTAGCATGAAGCCAAACGAGGTAATCTAGAATAAAATTTTCTATGCTTCTTTCCCTTCTTTGCTCTCTTTCTACTCTAATAACTGCGATTCACACAGGTAATGAAGAGTGTAATTCCTTGATAGAAACACAGCTCCAAGATTAATCCTTTCTTTAACTATGAAGTTCGCATGTCCAAAATCTATGGTAGTTGCTGTCTGATTTTTGATCACTGATGGTGATACAGATATTTATCATCAACTCACAACTTCCCAAATCTTTGAAAAGTCTTACTATTGATGGTTCAACTAGTAGAAACATGATGTAAAATATCTGAAAATAAAGTTTTTATTTATTAGAATGTAAATAATAATACAAATTGTAATAAGGTGTAAAAGTTCTTTCTTCACTGAAGCAGTACCATGTTGTCCTCTACCCCACAAATGCACTACTCCCCCGTGGTCCAATGTATTTTAAAAGTCTTGTAATTGCTATTAACTCAGACAAGTTTACTTAACTTGTTCTAAGCTTCTGGTATTTACTACAGTTTACTTTCAATCACTCAACCATCTCTGTTATATATGTTGTTTTCCATGAGAAATTTGTTTATTAGTAATTAAGATTCTTCAGGGATAGGAAAATATTTGAATAACTAAGTTTGTGCATAAACACATTAAGGTCAAATACCCATGATACTATTGTGTGTTTCTGTGTACTAGAGAAAAAAACTTCAAAAAAAATTTAATGAATATACTTTAAATTAAAAACTGCTTTCATTAAACTGAGATAATCTTCCCTCAATGCATGAATACCTTCAGAATTCACATAGACCAAAGAATTGTATAAAATATAACAGCCTTAAAAATCTTATTTGTAGCTGGCACAGTGGCTCCCACCTGTAATCCCAGCACATTGGCAAGCCGAGGTGGGCAGATCACCTGAGGTCAGGAGTTCAAGAGCAGCCTGGCCAACCTGGTGAAACCCCATCTCTACTAGAAATAGAAAAATTAGCAGGGTATGGTAGCACGTGCATGTAGTATCAGCTACTCGAGGGGCTGAGGCAGGAGAATTGCTTGAACCTGAGAGGCAGAGGTGGTAATGAGCCAAGACTGAGCCACTGCACTCCAGCCTTGGTGACAGAGCAAGACTCTGTCTCAAAAACAAAAACAAACAAACAAAAAACCTAATTGTTCCCATATAAGTCTATGTTCATACAAGATCTGAAGAGTACACAACACCGTGAGACAGGACAGACATATATTTTAAAAGTTATATTCCTGATTTCTGTAAAAATAAAATAGTTGAATTTAAGCTTTCAAGACAAGTCAACGAAACGAGCAAAAAATGCAAAAGTGAAACTCGAAAGGTCATTTCCCCATCAAGGGCTCATGATCACTGGACATTCACAAACTATACTGTTCAAAACATTAGATCTGAATTTTGATCCGAGTATCCCTTTAGTAGCAGTTTCATTCAAGGATGTCCAAGAGGTAAAATAAGACAATATCATTTGCTATTTTCAGTTTTCTTTTCTGAGAACAGCCCAGCATTCTTCTTCAGAGAAATGAATTGTCCTAACTTCATAGGCTAAAGGCTCATGAGTCATAGTTCTAAGGGCATTAATAAAATATGGTGGTGCATGCTTGTATTCTGAACTTTTCAGGTTTAAACTCTCATATAGTAAATGCTAATAGATACAAACTGATTAAAGAAAAGCCCTCTTAAACTGACATTATTTTTCTTTTTATTTCTTCATTTATCAGCAACAGGAGAGTCTAACTAAATGTGGTAAAGTGGTATGAGGGAATACAATGAACAGTGTAAAATGAATTAAACCAGAGATAATCACACCAATGTGGGTACAAGTGGAAAATATAATACAAAACACACCAAAGAAAGTGGCAGAAAGGTATATAAAGTATATAACCACTCACATACTATTTTAGGACACAAAAAATTCTGCATATTATTTCTGGGCATCACAATGTAGTTAAAGATTTCAAAAGGGCATTGAAATGAAAAACAACCAACTTATGATGTTGGTAGCCTCTATGCAATCATGTTTTAAAAACTTTAACACTAAAAAGGCTCAAAATCACCATTTTAAAAGACTGTGTCTACCAGTCATAAATGAATCATTACTTTCGTCATTTGTAATAGTGAAAGATGCCACAAGCACACGCATACACACATCTATATATACACCTACACACACAGTCTTGCTCATTAGAACATCTGATAAGCTTCAGATCATCAGTGTAATAACACTAGCAGCAAGCCTCTGAAGTTAAAACAGAAACTGACACTTTAATAGGTAAAGCTTTCCTCTAGGTAAAGATCAGAACTCCAACTAGCACTTAACTCACTGGAAATATCTTAAGAGTCTCAAAATTCACTGCTTTGAATCCCTGACAAGTATAAAAATTTTATACTGAAAACTTCATGCTATTCAAAACATTAAAACAGAAACATCTGACTTAAAGCTTACATTTTTAAAATCTTTTTTATGCTTCTAAATTTGTTTTTATTCAAATATGGATACCAACAATAACATTTATGTCAATGCCTTCTGTTCAATATTGAACAAATAGAATTAGGAATAAGAATAATATGAGTACATCCAATCATTGACTGTACTTTATTTCCAGTATTCCATCAAATGTACCTGCTCTCAATGTCTGTACTTTCTTTCTTTGTACTGCTCCTTTCACAGCAGGATCTTCCACTTCAGTGCTAGGCTGAATGGGTTTTAAAAGAAAACGATTCATAAATCATATATATTTTATACAACATGGAGTTAGTGATTCAAAAATATACATAATTAATTATCTTCAAGGAAGGATGTTTTGCAGAAGGCCCTACAAAGCAAAGGGGATATGTCATCAATTATATGTAAGTATGACAGGACCAACCAAACATTCATGCAGTGTTACTGTCGAGCTGAATTCTCAGGCCTGGCTATAAAAATATTTACTTAAGGTTTTGAGGGTTCTTCTTGGCTTCGTCTTTTTATTGCCTAGGACAGCAACATGACAGAAACACAATGAGGAAAATAGGAATATAGGATTCCCAAAATGCACAGTTTACATTTCAGTAGTGAGATTATGTTTCAAATGCCTATACTTAAAATAGAAAAGCATTGATATAACCGTGAACACGTGGACTAATGAGGAGAAAAGGGACCATTAAACAGAGGGGCAAATCAAACCTGAGAGAATCAATGTCAAAGCTGATGGTGAATGTACAGAGTATTTTAACTCCACACACCAGAGGCATTGCTGCCAGCACAGCACAAATAAATTCCCCTTGTCTTGTCACTGAGGAAATACTCAGTTGGGATGACAGTTCAGGTGAATGTGGGATTCACCTCTCATCAAAGAAAGGGTTCTACATTGATCAGCTAGGATACACACTTATGAAATAACAGCTAATCAAAGTACTCATTTTTCCCATGATCACATGGGCTACTGCAGCACCTACATTTCTCCTATCCCCTCATTTGGCCTTGAATTAGAGCTCCTTGATCCACTCATGCAAGGTGGTCCATAAAACACATCAAATAAACCATGTCGAATAAGCTTCTGATATCAAATTATTTATCAAAAAAGAAAACATTGAATGACCACAGACTTGCTGGATATTAATACATATTTATATTTCAAAATCAGTGCAGTATTTATTGAAAATGATAATTTTGGTTTTCATGGAATGAATTTTATGATTACTTCTAAAATTAACTAAGTTTGGTATATTATCTTACACTGTAAAGGACTTTTATAAAACAGCTATCATATCAAAGAACTGGCTGTCTCAAAAAAATTTCGCCAAAGCATCTATATGCAACTTAATCATATCTTATTCACTCATGTCAGTGAAACTTCTCTCCCTGAGGCCTGACAGTTATCAAGTGAAATGAGCTGCTGTGGTTTACCCCAACTCTAGCACTCCCTCCTGTCTCCAGTACTCTCCACAGCAATAACCTCTTTTGTGAGACTGGGCATATGCTGAAGCAACTGGAAGTGAGTTGTCTCAAGTTTACTTGGCTTTAACTCCCAAGACCCCAGCAAATGTCTTTCTTTCCTCCTTTTGTGTCCATTCACCATCCCTCTTCCTTTGAAAAAATGATTATCAGAACTGTCATCCTGATGCTTCCCTTCCTAACTGCTTTTTATGGATGATTGTGACCACTTTTTTCATCTGTATTCAGCAGTAGTATACACCTGTAATCTCTCTTTTTTCATCTCATTTTCCTTCCCTTGTGGCTAGAATCATGCTCAGAAATAAAAGGAAATTAAAGCTTTCCCTGGATTCTGTTATTTTTTAAATTGCTCTCCAGTGGTTCTTTTTCCAGATTTCTCTAAAGGAAGGCTATTCCCTTGCTATTCAGAGCTGTGTCCAAGGACCAGCACAAACATCACCTGAGTGCTCATGAGAAATGCAGACTCCAATACCTGCTAAGTCAGAATGTGCACTTTCCAGAAGCTCCTCAACGAATTCATGACAATTTGAATGCCCTGTTCTACACTGGTGTGCTTCCATATTGGTTTACCCTAATTGGCCTTTTTGGCCTAGCCTCAACTTCTTTCCTATTATGTCCCTGAATTTAATACTACGTTATAAGCCATAATGTTTCTAATGAACTTTTAATCAGGCAAAGCTTCTCTAATTAATTTCTTCCCAATAAATCACCCAACACTATTCTTTTCATTTTCTATAAAAACAAATTATAGCCATACATGGCTGACCATTTACGGTGATGTTCATCTATGGTAGATAAAACACAGGTCTGCATGGTAAAGTACCTCAATCCTTAATGCCTCCCCAGTAGCAAGAATGACAGCAAGAGAAGGAAAATGTTACTGTAATTATATGACACATTTTGGTACTGGAAGCTCACTTTATCTTCCTTCCTATTTCTAACACCCTGTTCTTCCTTCTTCTACAGATCAATTTGACTTTACTACCCTCCATTACATACATCCACTTTTTTTTATTTATTCCATGTACACTCTGCCCTCCTCATTCTTTCTTTCTCTTTTATTCATTTCTTCTTCCCTCTCTCCTGACTTGCCTCAGGTCTTAGAGTATGTTAAAATGGAACTCATAACTCAGCTCCTTTAGTGGTACTTCCAATAGAATCAACTGCTGACCCTTGGTTAGAGACACCACTTATCACCATTTCATTTCTCTTTTACTTATGATACAGTTAATAGGACATTTTCTTTAGCTATTAAACTCTATTAGTGCTCATATTTTAAAAGAAACATTCCATCAATGACTTTTTTTTTTTTTGAGATGGAGTCTCACTCTGTCACCCAGGCTGGAGTGCAGTGGCACGATCTCCGCTCACTGCAAGCTCCACCTCCCAGGTTCACACCATCCTCCTGCCTCAGCCTCCCGAGTTGCTGGGACTACAGGCACCCGCCACCATGCCCGGCTATTTTTTTGTGTTTTTAGTAGAGATGGGGTTTCACTATGTTAGCCAGGATGGTCTTGATCTCCTGACCTCATTACCCGCCGACCTCCGGCTCCCAAAGTGCTGGAATTACAGGCGTGAGCCACCGCGTCTGGTCTCCATCAAATGACTTTTTAAATAAAATACGGTTCTCACCTTCTCCTTTTCCATTGACTATTCTGTTTCCGTTTTCATGAGAAGGTCCACGTAAAGGCTCTGACACTTTCTGGGGGACACACTGCTAAGGTAATATCAAGAATTAGTTTCCATTTAAAATTATAATGAGTTGCATCAAGAGTTTCTTATCAATCTCTTTTTATGAAACTGGGTCTCACTCTGTCAACCCAGGGCTAGAATGCAGGGGCCTGATTATGGCTCACTGTGGTCTCAAACTCCTGACCTCAAGCAATCTTCCCACCTCAACTTCCTGAATAGCTGGAACTACAGGTGCATACCATCATGTCATGCTAATGTTTTTATTGTTATCTTTGTAGAGACAAGGCCTCATTATACCTCCCAGGCTGGTCTCAAGCTCCTGGGCTCAAGCAAATCTTCCACTTCTGCCTCCCAAAATGTTGAGATAAGCATTGTGCACCACCACACCCAGCCCTAATCAATTTCTTTAAATCAATCTCAATGTTGCCCAGGCACGGTGGCTCACACCTGTAATCTCAGCCCTTTGCAAGGCCAAGGTGGGTGGATTGCTTGAGTTCAGGAGTTGGAGACCAGCCTGGGCAACATAATGAGGACACATCTCTACACAAAAAATACCAAAAGGAGTCAGGCATGATGGTGTGTGCCTGTAGTCCCAGCTGCTTGGGAAGCTGATGTGGGAGGATCACTTGAGCCTGAGAGGTGGATACAGCAGTGAGCCAAGATCATGCCACTACACTGCAGCATGGACAACAGAGCTAGACCCTGCCTCCCCAAAAATTTCAATTTAAAATGTGAGAACAAAGAGAGATACAAACAAAAAACAAGCCTAATTAGTCAATGAAATATGAGCTTAAGCCAAGAAAGAAAACGAAAAACATGAAGTACAATAAAGTACATGGGGAAATAGATCTATAACAGAGCCTTCGGTCTTTCATAACTCTGATAATACTAATTAATATTTATGCTGCAATTAGTTTTTTGTAAGTACTTCTGTGATAGTGTTTCTTACTATAAGACATTCAATTAGCTAAATATGGTCATCTACCATTACCTGAAAGAACATTATTATAACAGAGAGAGAAAACTGGAACTTTCCATCAACTTTCCACCCAGAAAAAGAATTGGTCACCAGAATTCTAAAGAGTAATGTATGGCAGACACATGAAAAAATGCTCATCATCACTGGCCATCAGAGAAATGCAAATTGAAACCACTATGAGATATCATTTCACACCAGTTAGAATGGCAATCATTAAAAAGTCAGGAAACAACAGGTGCTGGAGAGGATGTGGAGAAATAGGAACACTTTTACACTGTTGGTGGGACTGTAAACTAGTTCAACCATTGTGGAAGACAGTGTGGAGATTCCTCAAGGATCAAGAATTAGAAATACCATTTGATCCAGCCATCCCATTACTGGATATATATGCAAAGGATTATAAATCATGCTGCTATAAAGACACATGCACATGTATGTTTATTGTGGCACTATTCACAATAGCAAAGACTTGGAACCAACCCATATGCCCATCAATGATAGACTGGATTAAGAAAATGTGGCACTTACACACCATGGAATACTATGCAGCATAAAAAATGATGAGTTCATGTCCTTTGTAGGGACATGGATGAAGCTGGAAACCATCATTCTGAGCAAACTGTTGCAAGGACAGAAAACCAAACACCACATGTTCTCACTCATAGGTGGGAACTGAACAATGAGAACACTTGGACACAGGATGGGGAACATCACACACCAGGGTCTGTCATGGGGTGGGGGGAGAGGGGAGGAATAGCATTAGGAGATATACCTAATATAAATGACGAGTTAATGGGTGCAGCACACCAACATGGCACATGTATACATATTTAACAAACCTGCACGTTGTGCACATGTACCCTAGAACTTAAAGTATAATAATAATAATAAAGAGTAATGTATGGCTTGAAATGGTATATTTAATGGAACATGAGTTGGGTCTAATAAAAAGCTTAAGAAATGTTAATCTAAAATCTCAATGTTAAGATTCCAGTTGAATGATACTAGAAAATATTTTGTAACCCTCTTTGCTACCGATGACCTATTTCTCTTTTATTTCCTTTTTAATTATGGCATAATTTCTCAACATAACATGTCAAAACTTATACACCCTTAAATATTAAAAAATAATACAATGTAAGCAATATTTTAAATACAATATTTAATGATTAGATACATTAGGTTTATTATATTACTTATAACATTCCATTATATAAAAATTCATTTGTTTATTTATTCAGATTAAACAACTATTAAGGCTGAATGTCTCATGTCTGTAACCCCAGCACTTTGAGAGGCTGAGGCGAGCAGAACACTTGAGCCCAACAGTTAAAGAAGAGCCTGGGCAACAAGGCAAAACCCTATCTCTACAAAACTCAGCCCAGCATGGTGACACAGGTCTATGGTGACATAGCTCTATTGTTTCAACTACTTGGATGGCTGAGGTGTGAGGATCACCTGAGCCTAGGAAATGGAGATCGGAGTGAGCCAAGATCTCACCAGTGCCCTCCAGCCTGGGTGACAGAGTGAAACCCCATCTCAAAAAACAACAAGTAAAATGCTTCTTACATGGAAGACTGTATTCTAGGTACTCCAGGATACACACAAATATGTTTACTGACCTCCAGTAGCTTATGGTATGCAGGAGCTTCCAATGAATGATCATTTAAAAAACTAAATAGAAAACCTTCTGACATTCAAACTTTCAGAATATGATATAAGTCCTTTGACTGGTTATTTTATTTTATTTTATTTTATTTTTTAAGATGTAGTCTTGCTCTGTCACCCAGCCTACAGTGCAATGGTGCGATCTTGGCTCACTGCAATCTTTGCCTCCTGGGTTCAAGCGATTCTCCTGCCTTGGCCTCCTGAGCAACTGGGATTACAGGCATGCACTATCATGCCTGGATAATTTTTGTGCTTTTTTTTTTTTTTTTTTTTTTTTTAGAGACAGGGTCTCACCATGTTGGCCAGGCTGATCTTGAACTCCTGACCTCAGGTGATCTACCCACCTCGGCCTCCAAAAGTGCTGGGATTACAGGTGTGAGCCACCACGCCTGGCCAAGTAAATATTTTAAATAAACTACAATGACAAAATTATGATGATAAAGACTTACCATATTGGTATTAAGAGTCTCTGCTTCTAGAACTGGTTATTTGCAGGAAAATACATGTTATTCAATTAGATGAAGTGTTTTATATAAACTCTTCATGGACAACTCATAAATCACATAAAAATACCTTTGCAATACAAATCTTGAGAACATAAATTTAAATTTCTACATTTCCACAATTTATATTTTTAAATTAGATACAATGTTGCCCAGGCTGTTCTCAAACTCCTGTGTTCAAGCAATCTTACTGTCTCAAACTACCAAGTAGCAGGGACTACAGGTGTACACCACCAAACTCAGCTATTTTTCTACAATTTTTAATACTTTTTTAGTCTCACTACAGAACCAATAATATAAGTAGAGAAACAATCTCTCCTAAAAACTATATGACACCAAAATGATAAATTTCCAAGAACAAAAGCTATATGCTATGTGCTGAACATTTCTGCCACTAAAAATTACCAGGAGGATTCCATGATTACTGCAAACAATTTGATCCACTGAAGATTTATACAGGAATAAATATTAAGAAAGTCACACACGTATGATTTAAAAGTAAAAGTAGTAGTATTTATCCAAATAAACTTTAACCAAATTTCGTATTTCCTCTATTGGAGAAGGCATTTCCTAACGTGATTTTCCTGTGACTACTTGTTTTCCACTTCATTTATTTTTCAGCTCCCACCCTGTCACAGTACTTACCAATCTTTATTAGTTACCAAAGTTAAACACATTTTTTTAATCAACTAGCCATGTGTATGTTTTTCTCTGACCAGCTTTCCATTACCACCATAAAACAATGACAGGTAAACCACTGCTAAATTTGAAAAGTAAATACTATGCAAAACTACACTCAGAGTGAGAAGATTAATTTTACAAGAGACCACTTTACCTTAGTAGCAACACTCAAGTCTTCATCATCCAATGTAGGCAATGAATCCACACACAGTTCATGCAAAATGCTTGAGAGCAAAAATACACAATGAAAATGAGCAAGTTGATTTCTTTACAATTTTTTTAACTGCCAGTTTATATCCAGCTTCCCCCTCAAAAAAAGGAAAACATAATCTGGGGAAAGGTCAGTGATCTATATATTAAATTATGATTCTTGATATAATTAAAATATGTCCTCTGTTCTAAAAATAGATTTTAGTTACCTATTTCTGCCTCCACCTGTCTAAATCTATAAAATATTCAATGAAAACTAACCTTGAGGTTTATAACAAATAGTGACAGTCAATATATTGGCAGAGCCTGACAATAATGTGCCCTCACAAATTATCTGTCCTGAAGCTGAACTTAAAATTCAATTAATGGATGACATAAATTTTGTTCCCTAAACTGGAATAAAACTGATGACCTAAAACAAGGTAGAAAGATCCACTGTCTCTTTTCCGTGATTTGTCTCTGGATAAAAGACTAATCTACATCACTTCAAAATGGTAGTCTTGATTCCTCAGCATGGATCCAACTTAGGAAGGTCCTATTGCTTTCCTTTACCCTAAATTGGTACAGGAAAGCCCCCACAATATTTGAAATGTATGAAAGCTAAATGTACAGAAGTCAAATAGCAAAGGTGTATGTTCTTATTGAGAATACTTTTCCCAGAAAGATTAAAATATTAACAATTATAAAATCCCATTATTTTCACTCTATAGGTCCTACCTTATTCAGGTCCACATAAACTAGCAAGCCCTTAAAAATTTTCATAGGCACTCAGACACCCAAGGAGAGAGACTGCGAGAAAAGAAACAGAGTCATGATAGTTGTACCTCTATTTCCCTAAGTACTATCTAAGTATCTTTCTTCCTATGGACACCCACTTCCAGATTCTACTTCTGCAGGGTTCCACAGAAGTCTCCAATCTTCAAATCTTCAGTGTATGAAAGCACAGATTCCTGAAAGAATGGCCTCAAATGACCAAGAGTAGGAGCTCTCTATATCCCTGCTCCTGAAAAACAAGCTAACTGGAGTCTCCATCACCTGCCACCAGCTATACACACTACCAACTACCCAACTGAACTCCATGACTGATTTGCCAGCTAATCATGCCCCTGACCCAGCCCACATGGACATGGGAAGGACATCAGTGAACTGTGAAAAGAGGCAGAGGTGAGGAGACACCTGCCCTGTGCCACACATCTATGTAGTTCAGCAATTTCCAGCCCCTTAGTACTCCAGGGGCTCTAAGCCACCCCTTTGTAAGTCAGGATGGAAGTAGATGACACCACATTTCTATCTGCTGTAGACATTCTTCCCAGTGTCTCAAAATGTTTTGGCATCTTTCAGTAAAAATCTTCAAGTTTGTCAGTCCTTGATTTAAAAAAAAAAAAAAGCAGCAAAATTTTTAGAGCTCCCTTGAACCTTCTATTTTAATGTGCCTTTGTAGATAATTCCCAACATCTTGTGTCCTTCATTTTTATAATTTATCTTTATCAAACTTGTCATAAACCCCAATACTTTGATCTCTTGTAGAAGAGTCCGTACTCCTATCCAATCCAGTGTTGTTTATCTTCAAACTTGGACTTCCCCTGCTCATTCCATTCTTATCTACTTCTATTGGGTTCACCAGCTAATTCCATTCTCATTCTATCCACAGGCTCACTCCCGTTTGTATTATTAAAACACACGCCAATAGGACATAAAAAGAAGCAAGAGTACTGGGCTTTACCATGAGTTCAAATCTCATTTCTGCCAATTCCTATGTCTAAAAAAAAAAGCTTCCTAATCTCTTTGAGCCTCACATTCTCTATCTAGAGAATCACTTGACCAGAATGTTCAACGCAGATAAAAATACTAGAAGGTATTTTAATTCATTCTAAGATTCCTTAAAATTCTGTAATTCTATGTCCTCTTGATTCTGTCTATAGAAAAACTTGGAATACATAGGCAGCAGAGTTTGAAAAAAATAATAGAACAAAAGAAACACCAAGAAAAACAGAGAAGAAAGTTTTAAAAAATGAAGACAAGGTTATATAAAAGTCATGGAAAAAGCAACAAGAGTAAAAAATGTATTATGGAAGTAAGCAGAAATACTTGCCTAAATGGAAAACCAAACTGGGAAGTCAAATAATTTGTCTCTAAGACTTGCCTAAACTTGCTTTGGTAAAACTTACAGTCCTATGGCCAAAGCTAAGTCAGATCTGCCCTAGAGCCTTTGAAGGTAAAAATAAGATACTGGTTACCACTGAAATCGTCAAATTTAT
The DNA here is from genome assembly GCF_000001405.40 of Homo sapiens. Lineage (NCBI taxonomy): Eukaryota > Metazoa > Chordata > Mammalia > Primates > Hominidae > Homo > Homo sapiens. The sequence continues at coordinate 42,867 of NT_187499.1, forward strand.
TAGGACTAACCACATTCTAACAATAAACTTAAATGAGAGTTCAAGGTATTTAAACTCTCATTAATTTAGAAGTTAATCAAATTAATGAATCCGATTGATCTGATTCAGACCTATACTTTGATCCAAGGGCTGCACAGATATCTATCAATCTATGCTGAGGAGCAAGAGAAAGGATTTGGAAGGCAGGTAGGCTGATGGTCAAACTGCAGGCCAGCTACTTTGTTAACTATGGGATCATGAGGCAATTAATCAGCTCTAATCCATAGTTGTTTATTTAACAGTAGGTTATAGGAACACAGATGTTATGATGGCTTTATGAGATGATAAATGCATAGAACATATTAGGATGTCTAGCCCAGAATACAACACTCAACAGATATTAGTTTCTTCCATCTATATTTTCTTAGTTAACATAATTTTTTAAATCTATGAAATCTTACCTGACTGCAGATTCATCAGGAATTCCAACATCTATTAAAGAAAAAGGTAAAATGCATTTTAAATCAATAATAAATGTACAGAATATTAAAATCATAAGAATGCACAGTGATGCATGCCTCTAATCCAAACTACTTGGGAGGATGAGGCAGGAGGATCACTTGAGGAGCCCAGAAGTTTGAGACCAGCTTGGGAAACATAGTAAGACTCTACCTTCATAAAAAAATTGTGCACACTTGTGTGTATGCTTTAGATCCTGTTTTTGTTGTTGTTGTTGTTGTTGTTTTGGTTTGGTTTGGTTTTTTAAAGCATAAGACTGACGCTTTGTTACAAAGCATTCCTTTGGGAGCATGCCTGCGACCTTATTAGAATTAACATTCATTATACGTATTGGTAGGTAATTAATGCAGTAAGAACTCTTCCCTCTGTATTTATTAGATGCAAAGAAGAATAAATTTATTAAAATTTGGTATCTACAAGTGAACTGCAGTATACAAGTCATCCTAGCCAAAGCCTATGAGATTGAGTAAAAATGGTATTGTTAGCAGAACAGGTGTGATGAGTCAACAGTGTCAAAGAGCATGATTTCTGGACCAAAATATGAGGGGCCATTACAACAGAGTATACACTAGTACCCCTTATCCACTATATGCGCAGAAAGACATACTTGACACGTTTTTCTCTGCTGTCACACCACAGCAACAATCATCAACAAAGAAGGCTTCTGTGACCAAATGTGTGGAGAGTTTTTCCCCACCAACAAACAAGCAATCATTCCTGCTGATGACACAATTCAATTCTCACACCCTATCTACAGATAACATCAGATTTAATTTAATTTATAAATTAAACTTTCTCATAGATATGTATGTATAGGGAAAAACAGCTTGTGATTCAGTACTATTCATGGTTTCATGCATCCACTGGGGGTCTTGGAATGTATCTCCCACAGTTAAGGGGGAGCTACTGCACTTATTTTGTTATAACACAATACAGCCTCTCTAGTTCTTCAGTTCAAACTGTTTAGTTTAGAATAAAACACCATATCACCAGAAACCAACAAAACATAGGACTCAGACCAGAAACAGGAATCCTTGCAAAGACTTTCCAGCCACCAGCGGAGAAGATCTCAAGAGAGATCAGTGTGTTGTTACTCTGGCTAATACTCTTCTGGGGAAGGTGCTGGGTGGTTTCCTTGGTTGTAGCTATTTGCTCTGGCCTACATATAACAAGGCCAAATTCACCTGCCATTTTACCTCCCACAGAAAGATCCACTGGAAAGATCACTCCTTTAAGAGCTTATCCACATTCAGAGAGAAGCTGAAGAAACGCTGGGGAGGTATGGCAGGCTGCGGGCAGTATTATCTGATGTGAAAAAATATATAGAAATAAAACTATCAATGCCTTTTTACTACCAGAATGTTCTAATGCTTGCCCTTCTCCCTGGTAGGAGAAAAAATTTTTTTCACCTCGCATAAAGAAAAACTCCCTTGTCATCCCCCATGACAGAATCTAGCTGTAGGTGAGTCATGTCATCATAATACAGGCTGTTGTCAACCTCATCCCTCAAAGGAAGAGGATCAGTGAGGAACTTATGTATTTACCTAATAGGATTCACTGCCTGGTCTTATTTCCAACTGAAGGTAAGTATGAAAGATTTTGTGATTCCAGTTTTATAAAATACAACCCTTTGCACTTGTCCGCTTCCATTGCTAGAGAGTCTATCTGGACCCACCTCACAGAGCAAGATGCTCCAGTTTGTGCTGTGTGGTACGGCATGGTGTCCTTTTCCTCAACCCTTTCTATTATGTGCCACATATCTATACAAATCATGTTTTCTAAGTATGTAAATCAAATCTCATCAGAATACATCATTCTTTACAATGATAAAGAAGCAAAAGAAAAACAAAAGGACAAAGAACATCTTAAATGACTACAATCAACTGCCATGGAGCTTTAATTTTTTAACTATTCAAAAAGATATCCACTCTTCTTATTCCAACTATATGACTCTTCTGAAAAAAGTAAAACTATGAAGACAGAGTAAACATCAATGGTTGCCACGAGTTCCTAGGGAGAAAGGGAGAGATGAACAGGCATAGTATACTTCTTAGGGCAGTGAAACTGTTCTGTCGATAATATTACAGTAATAGATACATGTCATGTCATTATACATTTGTCCAAATTCACAGAATGTACAGCATCAAGAGTGAGGCCTGATGTAAACTATGAACTTTGAGTGACTATAACGTGTCAATGTAAGTTCATCAGTTGTAACAAATGAACCACTCTCTGGTGGAAAATACTAATAATGGGGGAGGCTATGCGTGTGTGGGAGGCGTGGGGTATATGAAAAATCTCTGTACCTTCCTCTCAATTTTGCTGTGAACCTAAAACTGCTCTAAGAAATAAGGTTATTGATTTAAAAAAGATATTCAGTTGGGCTCAGTGGCTCATGCCTGTAATCTCAGCACTTGGGGAGGCAAAAGTGGGTGGATCACCTGAGGTCAGGAGTTCAAGACCAGCCTGGCCAACATGGCAAAACCTCGTCTCTAATAAAAGTACAAAAATTAGCTGGGCATGGTGGCTGGCACCTGTAATTTCAGCTACTCGGGAGGCTGAGGCAGGAGAATAGCTTGAGCCTAGAAGGTGGAAGTTGCAGTTAACCAAGATCACACCACTGCACTGCAGTCTGGGAGACAGAGTGAGACTCCATCTCAAAAAACAAAGAAGATATTCACTGTCTATGCATCCCAGGATCTCCAGAACAACAATTAAAATAAATAAATAAAAAAGATGGCTGGGGGCAGTGGCTCATGTCTGTAATCCCAGCACTTTGAGAGGTCAAGGTGGGTGGATCACCTGAGGTCAGGAGTTCGAGACCAGCCCGACTAACACCGTGAAACCCCATCTCTACTGAATACAAAAAATTAGCCGGGCATGATGGTGCATACCTGTAGTTCCAGGTACCTGGTAGGCTGAGGCAGGGGCATCATTTGAACCTGGGAGGTGGAGGTTGCAATGAGCCAAGATTGTGTCATTGCACTGCAGCCTGGGCAACAAGAGCAAAACTCTGTCTCAAAAAAAATAAGTAAATAAAATAAAACATAAAGATATTCACTGAACCTGTTACTATGATATATTTAAGCAAGACACGGTGACCCTAAAAATTAGAGATCATTGAAGACCAAAGTAACAACATGTGGTCATTATTTCTCAAATTGAAGTATATAAAATATATAAAATAATAAATGTAATTGCATGCTTAGGTAAGAAAATATTGATAAAAATGATTGAATATTTTATCTTATTTCATAATTCTAAGCAGGGCTTTAGCACAATATGAAAATTCGATTATTCATGTAATCCAAATAAAAGACAATTTTCATTCTAATTTTAACTCAGAAATTATTTTGCTTATTTAACAATTTTACTGAAAGGTAAATGAGATAAATAGGACAGATTATAGTTACCTAACATTGCTATGGTAACTTATGTACAAATAGCTGTTCGACACCGAAAGTCAAAAAAGTAACCAGTGCTGCAACTTAAGATGAATCATACAACAGAAATTAGTACCAAGTTACCTTATCTTATAATATTATATTATTAAAATGAAATTTTAAAACAACACCAAAAATTAAGTTGGAGCTATACAAAGTGTGCAGAAAAGATTTCATATAACAGGCAAGAGACTGCCATCCTTAGAAAGGCCTGCATGCAAGGCTGGCCCTTGGCTGGTGTTTAGGAAATTAGAATTGGGAGGGTTTCCACCATTCCCTGAGAAGAGTGGCTCACTGTGTCTAAAGTGTTTATAGAAACAGTGTGTTTTCTCTGAACAGCTGCTTTCCTTGTAAGAGTCTGGAATTTGGGTACATGAGAGGGAGAGTAACCCCCATAGAAAAACTTGGGCACTTAGTCTCTAATGAGACTCTGGTACTGGTAGACATCGCTGCACATATGTTGTCAAAATGTGAGCCTGGGAGAATTAAGCAGATCCAGGGAACTCCACAGAACGGAACTCCTGGAGGCTTGTGGCTCGTTTCCTCCAGAATTGACCACATGCACTTTTTCCTCTACTAATTTTGCTTGTCCCCTTTCTTGTTATCAATTAAAGATCTGAGTATGACTATTTGCTGAGTCCTGTGAGTCCTTCTAATGAACCAACAAACCTGGGGTGGTCTTGGGAAACCTTGACACAAATGTGTTGTGTAAGATTTGTATTAAGTTGATATGATATATGTAACTGTAATCAGATGGTTATTTCACAGAATAACTTTCCCTAATCTGTTTTTCTTTTCTTTTTTGCCCTTGATATTTGACTTGGAGATTCTTGTATTTCTATATCTATCTAATTGAATAAAACCATAAAAGGAATAAATGAAACAATAATGTCAGAAAATAATGTGAAATAAGGAGCAATCCTCTTTTAACCGAACAAAAAATAGACAATCTGGGTGATTGACAATATGTTCTACAACATGAATGTTTTTAGAAAAAAAAATGAAAAAGTGGTCAATTTTCTGCAACTCAACTGGGCTTCATTCCTTTTTATAATAATTGTGCAGGCCAGGTGCAGTGGCTCACACTTGTAAATCCGAGCATTTTGGGAGGTTGAGGCAGGAGGATCACTTGAGCCCAGAAGTTCCAGACCAGCCTCGGAAATATAGTGACACCTCACCTATTAAACAAACAAATAAACAAAAAAGCACCCTTAAAAAGAAAATTAGCCAAGTGTGGTAGTGCATGCCTGTAGTCGCAGCTACTTGGGAGGCAAAGGTGAAAGGATCATTTAAGTACAGGAAGCAGAAGTTGCAGTGAGCCAAGATGGCAGCACTGCATGCCAGTACTGGAAACAGAGGGAAACCCTGTATCAAAAATAAATAAACAAATAAACAATTGTGTATCAGGCCAGATGTAACCACACAAAACTGTAGTCTCAGCTACTCAGGAGTATGAGGTAGGAGGACTGCTTGAGCCCAGGAGTTCAAGGTTACAGTGAGCTATGATTGCACCAATGAACAGACACTGTATTCTAGCCTAGGCAACATAGAGAGACCCCATCTGCTATGATAATAATAATTGATTAATTGTGCATCATTCAAGTAAATTGTATAACTGGAGAAAAACATATGATTATTGAATATACTATTATCATCTACTACTGACCATAGAGTTCCTGTTTACTTGCTTCTAATCTTTTTCTTTGTTTCTCATAAAACTAAAAACATGATTTAAACCCATTAAAGGCAATTCATGGCAAAACAAGTCAAAAAGTCAAAAGAATTGCATCCAAACAGTAGGATGTGTTATCCACCGCTCTCTATGAACAGTTGGATTTGGTCATTAAGAATCAGCAGGACTTTTAACTTTGTGTCTGTGTGCACACGTGTGTGCACATGTGCGTGTGTGTATGTGTATGCATGTAAACTATGACAGATGAAATCATTTTGCTTGTGTAAGAATATGTAATATAACTTGTGCTTCTCACAGAGGAATTGCTTTTCCATCTTCTGTGCTCAGTAGCTATCTTAAAAAAAATAATCTCCTATTTGTATGGGTGCCCGCTGGTTCAGTTCTACAGTTCTTATTGCCATTTATTTATGGTACCAGAAAGGGATTGCTGAGTTGCTGGTTCTAAAGATAGTTACTTTCTTAGTGACACAAATCAATATGTAATACAGTTCACCCTTGAACAGCAAGGGTTTCAACTGCAGGGATTCACTTATATGCAGATTTTCTTCTGCCTCTGCAATGCAGAGACAGCAAGATCCACCTCTCCTCTTCCTCCTCAGCCTAATCAACCTGAAGATCATAAAGACCTTTGCCAGGAACTACTAATGCTTTATGAAAAGTCAATATGTTTTTCCTGATGATTTCCTTTCTAACAGCTTCATTTCTCTAGCTTATTTTATTGTACTAACACAGTACATCATAATGCAGCACAAATAAAATAGGTGTTCATCAACTGTTTATGTTATCAGGAAGGCTTCCAGTCAATGGTGGGCTATTACTAGCTAAGGTGAAGTAATCAAAAGTTATACTCGGATTGTCAACCTCACAGGATTGTTACCCTCACATTATTCATGGGTCAACTGTAGTTATTTGTTTAGTAAATGTAAACAATTTACTATAAAAATGAAATAGAAGATCCATTTGTATAACAAGTCCAATTTGTTATAATGTGACTATAGAGGAAACATACAACATATTAACTTAAAAATGTTTTTTCTTATTTATTCAAAAATATTATGTAGGGTTTTAGGGATCATAATTAAATAAATGAATGTTTTTAGACCATAATGTTTGAGATTATAAATTAGCTATAACTACCTTCTTAAATAAATCTGAATTTCAAACTAAAGAAGTTATATTTAAAAAATTAATTTACATATGTATATACATATATACACATTGAATTTATACATATTTTTAAACTGGTCTTTTTTGACTGGCACTACCTTAATCTTACGTCTTACTTCTTATTTTCTTATCAAGAGTAGGACCACCAAGAGAAGTAAGAAATTCACTCTCAGAAGACTTACCTCGTTTGTCCTTTTTAAGTATCTTCTTTTTATGTTCCAAAATTTGTTGTTGAATTCTACATATACCAAAGTAATAAATAAAATTGCTATTTTAATACTGAAATAAAAAATATTTACCAAACATATTAAATTCCAAAAACATTTTAGGCAGTATCAGACCTAGTATCAGAATTTTAATGTCCCATACACTTCAAATTTTTAAAACTTACAAGCTTATTAAGCTTATAATTAAAGAAGAAAAGAAAGTGAAGTACTCATAAATGGAGGAAGCACAGCTGAGTAAATTACCTCTAGTTAGCTGGATATCATGCAAATTGTCCTGCCCTCAGAGTAAGTCCTCGCTCTGTAACCAAAATACTTCGCTCTGTAGGTATTTTGTTTTCAGACAAGTTGCTTCTCTTAGGCTCCATGGTTTCTTCTAAAAAATAAGGATTCTGCTACCTTACTTCACTAGGTTGTTTGGAAGATGTAATGAGATTACATGTTTAAATGTTCAGAGAAATAATAAAGCAATGAAATAATTTATTCTTGAACCTTCTTGCTGAAACCATTTTGGAATCACAAATAATGCTCGGTGTGTGTTTTTCTATAAGTTCTAATATTCAAATGTTGCAGTTTTCAGAAAATGTTATTAAGTGCTAATTTTGGTTATTACTTGCATTCGTTGTGGCTTGTAATTCAGGGCATTTTACCTAATTCATAACTTATTACTAAATTTATATACATATAAATTTAATGAGCTCATCACTGAGCTCATCAATCACACCAAGGGCAGAAAACTAATAGGTGTCAAAACCTGGCTTGGAAAACTACCACTCCTTCTCTACCTCCTCAAACTCTGAGCCAGCAGATTTGTGCTTGGCTGCTGGATATCGATGGTCCTCTCCAACTAACAGACAAGAAAAAACCCTGCCTTGATTGTTTTTCAGTTCCATGAAGGAAATGCAAGTTGACATTTTCTCATTTCCAAGACATGTACTAACAACATGTAACATCCCCTTATTACTCAGCTCTGTTCCCATTTCAGAGATCACTGTACATCAATAGTTTCACAGTGATAATCACAGTTTCAATATTGCGTGTCACCTGTTTTGGTTTTCCTCACACTGCTTCCTCGGAGCTACTCAACAAATAGTCAAATGGCCTTCCTGGGTCTATGCAAAATATGGAATGCTTTCTGAATTTGTGTGCCATCCCTAGGCAGTAACCATGCTTATCTGCTCTGTATTGATCCAATTTAAAATATGTGCTGTTGAAATAAGTACAAAGCCCTGTTTGATACATGGATACTCATGAGTCATGGATGAGGCTTAGCTCTGTCAAATCCAACTCACTTACTTCAGATTCAGAGAATTTTATTGAATGGCTTCCTGTGAGGTAGAATTTTAAAATATATTGAAAACTTGAGGAAGAGCTGCAAGTAGCCCAGGAGATTTTCATGAATATAGAGACACATTACTTGAGGCACCAACTGCAAGCTGGTTCCCACTACTCAGTGGAAAGAGAACATGGAACATTCTGGTATCTAACCAAAACTGCTGCACAGGATATAAAAAAGCCTCAAGGTACAGATCTGACAGCAAAAGGGAAGCGGAACTCTGATCTCTTCCTGCAACATTATTTGAACATCCCTGACTATTGAGAACAATACCAACTAATATTGGTTAAAGGAAAGACAAGCATGGCTCTCAAAGGATAACATCCCATGAAGGCCTAGGCAAAGTCTAGCTAAGAGGTGGACTCCAAATAAGGTTTTCAGTGTAGGATGAGCATCAATTTGCTCAATATTTGTGTGGATAAAGCTAGGAGGCCTAGCTACCAGAGCAGGGTGCTGGGAAAAATAACTGAGCACAAGTACATAAACTAATAAACACTGTAGCTTTGACCTGTATATATGAATCACCATGAAAACTGAGAGGTCTGAATCAGTGAAGGCATCCTGGTGGCAAAGGTCAATCATTATCAGATTGCAGGTCCAGTGACAATGGCAATAATACAGCAAGTGAGGCCATGGAAACAACAGAATGATTTGAATGTCCTTTTTTTCCCCTTCTTCTGACTTGCAAAGAAAGATTGCCTTCCTTGGACTTAGGAAATCCCTTAGCTTCTTGGAAAATTCAAAGAAGGAAGACACAGGAGACAGCCCCAGGGGAAAATACAAGATTTTCTGCTAAATTGGACATTAAAAGACTCAATAACTAATTAGAAAAGTTAGACCAGGCATGGTGGCTAGCACTTTCAGAGGCCAAGGCAGGGGGATTACTTGAGCTCAGGAGTTCAAGACCGGCCACGACAACAGAGTGAGACCTTGTCTCTAAAAAAAAAAAAGAAAAAAAAGAAAGGAAAGGAAAAAAATCAAAGATGTGGCTCTTTTTATCCAATGCATGGGGATTATACTTAGAATAAAATGAACAACATTGAGATCCCTAGGGATAAAGTTCTCAAAAATCCAGAAAAAATCTTGCACTCTACTTCTAACTAATCTAGACTTCTGCTTGATTTCTGGCTAAAAGGTAGACTAACTCATGGCTATTTCAAACTATCTGAACCAAACTATGAACTGTCACCTAATGTGTAAGATGGAGTAGTTGCAATTATTTTAAACTTCAATTTAGTATCAACTGGCCTTTTAACATAAACACTTACTTTGTCAAATGATGAGAAATAGCATAATCTTCTGCATCTCGTCCACACATGTCTTTAGTGAAGACATCAATATTTTGCTTAAGAAGGATATTGACAATACCTGGTGAGTCATAGTGTATAGCAAGCATGAGGGCTGACCTAAAATAACAAAGAAATAACTCCACTCAAGAACTTTAATATCAAAAGCTAGTTTGATACACTTTATTTACCAGTTTAATATCCGCCTGTCAGTGTAGACGTAATAACCATTTGCATGTACTAGCTTGGGTCTATAAGCATCTAGGGTGCTCAAGTGTTCATCTTAGTAAATTGTCACCAAGACTAAAAGAAAGGGACAACAGGGAAGCCTCTTGTCCCACTGGGGTAAGACATAATACAAGTTGCTAACTTATAGTCCTTTGATGGCCAAGAAACTGAACTGTGCTGAGGTCACTTATGTAAAGTAGGCAAAGACTTAGATGAAGATTTCCCCATTGCTTTCCCAGTCCAATCAGCTAGGGGTCAGATAAGAGCTATGTGCAGGCTGAAAACAACAACAACAACAATGACAATAATAATAATAATGACAATACTAGTAGTCATAAACGAAAAGTCCACACTTCAAAAATTAATAAAACTGGTCAGGTGCAGTGGCTCATGCCTGTAATCCCAGCACTTTGGGAAGCCAAGGAGAGCAGATCACGAGGTCAAGAGATCGAGACCATCCTGGCCAACATGGTGAAATCCCATCTCTCCTAAAAATACAAAAATTAACTGGGCATGGTGGCGTGCACCTGTAGTCCCAGCTACTAGGAAGGCTGAGGCAGGAGAATCGCTTGAACCTGGGAGGTGGAGGATGCAGTGAGCCAAGATCACACCACTGCACTCCAGCCTGGCAACAGAGCAAGACTCCATCTCAAAAAAAAATTAATAAAACTAATACAAAACCCTTTAGCTCATAAAAGATTACAGTACCAAAAACATCTGATCATAAATACCAAACACTCTATATTATAAGAGAAGGTGAATCCTCCTATATACTATTCTTTATGTTACTCAGTCCAAATATTTGCTGGTCTACCTGATTATTCGTGGTGATATTTTTCATTATATGCCAATAATTATGTTAATCTTCTTATTGATATTTCTGACTTGAGTGACTGTTACCACTCTAGAATACTCAGGTTTTATTTTTTAAAAAAGAACAACTGTACCATCTCAGCCTATCAACAGCATGTGTACTTGCTTTGGGTTTCAATAAAAATTCCACCATTTTCTCTTTCTTGCAAATTATGGTGAATAAAAGTGGAGTATTATTGTCCTATGAAACAGCACAAAAAAAATTAATAATTCACAAAATTACATATTTCTCAACTGAAATGAAAATCTTCTCTGGGATGTTTTGAACTTCAACATACAATATAGAAAGGAAGTAAATGAAAAGCAGCCCCTTCCTTCTCACTCCTCTGTGCTTTCTGATGTGCTGGGCTTTGCCTTGCAACAACCCTCCTCTGTCTCCCCAGATTAACTGTGGTCATTGCCAAAACTCACTTTAAAAGTTTACCAGTCCCAAGAATCCTTGCTTTGTTCACAGCACTTAGCATGGTACATTGTAATCATTTCACTGTTTCCCACTGAAACCAAGAGCTTCTTGAGGCAAGGGCTGTATCTTTTGTCTCTATAGCCCCAAAACCCGAAGACATAGTAGCAAACATTTTAAGTTTTTTACAGAAATTAATGATCTAAATTATTCTCACTAAAGCAGTGTTTCTTAAACTATATTCCAAAGAATATTTGCTTTACCAGAAGTATTATACCCCAAGAGAAAGACTCCATGACAATCTGCATTTGAGAAATATTATAAAACTGTATGTTATGTCCAATAATCAAGAAATCTATTGAAGTTTACCTAATCCCCATTTGACAATACTATTTGTGGCAAACATTAACATTTGAGGAATTGTTTTAGGGGTACAGTTGCCAGAGCTTCCCAATGCAGGTGGAGGTTTCTTATGAGTGGTACAAACTTGCTTGATTCACTTCTATCAATGCTGTCAGGATCGCAGATGCCAATGTCAGGCACTCCTGCTCCAAATGGGTCACTATGGAAATGAGCTCTGAATTAAGAGAGATTGGCTTCCAATGCACTTATTTTCCTTATTATTAAATAGTCCATGGGTTTTTTCCCTAATACGAGAGAACAGATTTTTATCTTTACTGTTAGAAAGCTCAGTATGTTCTGTGTAAGAGAAATAGGTTTAAAAAACTTAAGAACAAATATTTAAAAAACCAAAGCTCAGTAAGAAATACCATTCTCAATTATAATGGTAATCCCAGGACCTCAGGGCAGCTCTACTTTTTAAATCCATTTTTATTGGCTTCCACTTAAAGGGCTACTTAAAATTATTTTTTATTTTAGACAAAATATAAATCAGAAATAAAAACATAATGTCTTATCAATAAAAGTTCTCATACTGATCCATATGAATTATTTCTGGCATAATAAAAGCCAGTAAGTCACTGGCATTTCTAAGGAAGAGCCCTGAGGAGAAAGATGTAATGTCTGCAATATTCATAAATTATCCAACTATAACCAGGAATAACCTAAAAAGGCTTCTAGGCATTCTTATGGACAGATAATTATTTGTGGTATATATAAAGAAAAGAGTTTCAAAACTTCTAAATTCTAAAATTCAACTCCATAACTGAGGGATTTATATACTCTATAGACTATATATTATAACAAATACATGCTGACTTAAAAACCTTGAAATCTTTATCAAAATATACTATAACATAGGAGTTGTAAACTCAGATACTTACAAGGACAAAGCAGGGTTGCCTGAGTAAAGGAAGTACTAAGGTGGGCACAGTACCAAACTGGAGAATACATACCTTCTCTAAAGGGGTAACCTCTGCACAGCAGATCAAACAGTGATAGAAACTCAGAGATGCCAGATTTGATTTTTTAGAATAAGCCTGAAGTCCAGATTTCTACACCAGTCTTCTAAATTTTACATGCTGATTCAACTTATAGAGGCAAACAAACAAATCTGTGTGCCACATTAGAAAATAGCCCTTGTGTTTTTATATTCGCTTCTAATGTGTTACTAAATGGTTGTGTATAATCCAAGTATTTGCATGTAAAATATTTTCTTTCTCTAGTATCATAGGTTTTACCAAAAAATCAGGCTCTCATATATAATAAAAATTGCCAAAAAAGACTCATAATACCTGCTTCAAGAATTTTTCCAACATTTATTCATTTAAAATATATTTTTATATAATTTTCCAAGATTGTTAACCAAATAGATAACTGGTTCATAGGACTGCTAAAACTAAATTATTAAAAGAATTCATATCTGTATTTTTATTAACTCCATGGACTTCAGTGTTTAAAACTGACATTTTGGGTATGCTAAAGCTCTATAAACTTAACAAACATACTGAGCTAGTTCATAATACAACTTCAACTAAAACAAAAGTTTAGGATTTGCTACTATTCTAATTGAGAAAACCCAACTTGTAATGAACATTTGTTGACACATAATCACGTGCATGGTGACAAAGGGACATGAAATCATGAAAGGGTCAGCCTCTACTTATTGAAAGATTACCCATAAGCAAATTGCTAAAGACTCCCTGAATGTTTGTGAAGGATTAACGGTGGGAAGGAAAAGGTGTTATTCTGTAAGCTGAGAGATATTACCAGTAATATTTCTTTTCACTTCCCAGTCACAGATGTAGAGAAAAACAGATGTCAGGCTAATATTACTGAAAAGGAGAACTTTGAAGGAAGTAGCACCTATCAAACACCAATTCTTCTAGAGATTTCTTACATTTTTGAGATACAGAAATTTATATGTTGCACGTATCTATTCTGGGGTTCTTAATCAGGAGTGTATCCAAAACTTGAGTTTTTTTTTTTTTTTTCTGTTATTGTTGTTAGAGGCAAGAGTCTCACTATGGTGCTCAAGCTGAACTTAAACTCAGGCTCAAGCTGGGACTACAGGAACATGTCACTGTGCCCAGCTTCAAGAAAACATTGTTAAAAATGTTCAGGCCTTATTAGATCTATTATATCAAAATCCTCAGGGGAAAGCCTACAATTGTAGATTTTTAACAAAATGTCCTCAGGTCACTGTAATGCACAATTCTGAGAATTAGTGCAGCAATCACTTCAGTCTCATCTCTCGTCCCCATGGCTAATTCCCTTTATCAGTTGGACATGTGGCCAAAAAGAGAAAAGAGTAAGAGATAGTGTCATTTATCAAAGCTCCAGTTAAGTTTTCTGGGTATGGGTAGAACACAGACAAGTAAACTCAAAATCCCACTTGATTTTCCTATTTATAAGCTCCTTATCTCCTACCTTCCACCAAGACATTCTAGGTTTGAGAGGAGGCTTTAGACTCTTATCTAAGTGGCTGTTTCTGCCAGGATGGGCAATAAGTCAGTTAATAATTTGTTCCACCTTCTGTTGAAGTGTTTCCCACTTCATCACCACATATTCCCTGCTAATCTGGTTTCCTCAAAGTCTTCCTAAAATTAATCTCTAGGCAAGTTTCAACTCACTGTCATTTTCAAACCAAAAATTATTAGACCCAAAGCTAAGGAACGCCTTGTCTCAACACATAAACTGGAAGAACAACAAACTAAGAGAAAAAAAAAAAACTCTTCTTGGCATTTTCCCTCATTACCTAATTTCCAAGTGACCTGCATATTTCTGATTGCTCTCCTTTTCCCTTCTCATTTTTCCCTCTCAAGCCTTGTGCCACTGAGAGATGATACATCAGTTTTTCAGAAAATTATCAGCAGCAGCAACATGTCCACTTCTTGTAAGTTGCTTTAGTTTTGTCTGAGTTTTAAGATAAATCCTACTTCCAGGGCATATGTTCTTTCCTGTGATGTTTTACACTAATTAGGGGGGAAAAAAGGAAAGAATAACCCTGCGTAGAAAAGAAGTTGAAAAGTTTTTACCTTTAACAAATTCAGAAATATTTTCCAAAGTGCGTTTTATAAAGCTGTACCCTTTAATGCTCCTTTAAAATTATGAATATTTAAAATAAAATCTTAGACAATTATTTCAAAAAAATTTGCATTTGCATTCAGGGAATGGTTGAGCTTCCAAATATAAAAAAATGACCCTTACCTATGTCAATGTTAAAACAAATATTTTGGAAAGAAAGTTGATTGATCTATACCCTGTCCAGTGCTTCAATATTTGCACCATGGAAAAGCAGTTTTTCTGCCAGTGAGGTGTTCTCACTATACACAGCATAATGGAGAGCAGTGTTGCCATAGATATCCTTAAGGTTTGGATTGGTGCCATGTTCCAGCAGAATAACGGCACAAGCCTCTTCCTGGCAATGGACAGCCTGTCCGTATTAGACCAATAAATAGATTGTAAAGTCTAAGAAATTCAAAATACACATTCCACAGGTTTCACCAACTAGTTATATTTAAATGAGATCAATTTATTTTAATTTTATGTATGCAAATCAAATCCATGTCATGCTAAAAGAGTTGGCTCTAATATACCTGTATCAAAGGCGTTCTATTTTCTTTGTCACAGATATCAATCTGGCATTTTCTGCTAACCAGGAGAGTGACCACTTTCACATGGTCACTGGCACAGGCCAAATGTAGAGCAGTTCTACGAGAGTAAGAGGACTTTTTAGGAAACTGTAGTGCAACATCTCAAAACATACAATCATTCATGTAACTGTAAAAATTGAAGAGCATGTTTTTCCTCTGCCTTCAAAACAAATACTTAATTTTGCTGAAGAAAGCACAATACTTACTAGCTCTTATTGCTCACTGCCTTAATGAAAACAGCAGCCTATTTGAATAGAAAGAGCTCACTCTTTGGATTCAGTTCAACCAGGGCTTGAGTCCTACTTTAAACCCTGTAACTTACCAACTATTGCTTAGCCTTTCTGTGTCTCAACTTCCTCATTAAGAAAGATGACAATAGTAGCTATCTCATAGGACACCATCGTGATGCTTAAATGAGAAGCTATGTATTTAGAATAGTTCCTATAACAACTCAATAATTGTAAGATTTTTGTTTTTTGAGACAAAGTCTCACTCTTTTGCCCAGGCTGGAGTGCAATGATGTAACTATAGCTCACTGCAGCCTGGAACTCCTGGGCTCAAGCGATCCTCCATCCCCAGCCTCCTGAGTAGCTGGGACTACAGATGTGCACCCGCATGCCCAGCTATTTATTTAAAAATTTTTGTAGAGTAAGAATCTCACTTTGTTGCCCAGGATGGTCTCAAACTCCTGGCACCAAGCAATCCTCTCACCTCAGCCTCCCAAAGTTCTGGTATTACATGTGTGAGCCACTGCACCCAGCCAGATATTATAATTGTTACTATTACTACTACTTAACAAAAACAATTTAATTAGGTAAAAGACACAATTATACCTACTTTGCAGGATGGCTTAAAGAGTAGATCACATTTTAACACTTCTGACATTGGAATGTCACTTATATTACTATAACTATAATTGGTAGCATCTTAAAAATTATCTTATCGATATATAAAATAGCGGGGCATCTCACAATCCATGAGACCTTACATTAAGTAGAATATGGTGTAGTCAGCAGGTCTAGGGCACTTCTAGGCATATAACTGGCATGTAAATACATTTTAGTTCTTAAAGGTACTATGGGGATAGAACACTGAAATAATAATAATGAATTTTTTAAACACATTAATTCCTTGATTTTCAAACAAATTGAAGACAAAGGAAACTCATGATTCAAATGAATACATATGGCTCATTTTATTCAATATTTATGCTTACAGAATATATGCAAATAAGATTTTCCAATGATTAATATTAGTATTTAAGACTGATAAACTTTTGAATGGCAGTTAAAGGTTATCTTGTACTATTTTCTAACTTCAGAAATGCTTTTGTTTGAAAGTTGGGAGACAAAGTTTCAAGAAGATTAAGTCCCAATATTCCTATTTTAAATCTCTTAGCTTGCGCAGGCAGGGCAGGTAAACATGAAGTTTTTAAGGACAGAAGGGTCCTGAGAGATAGCAGAATATGTCTGCTACATAACAGGTACTCAGGTTATGTTTGATGAATAAATGGAATGAAAGAATGGATAAATACATTTGGGGAGTTCAATATTTTTAAATAAAAGTCCGCGATCCAGCCCGGTCCACCACAGCCTTCAGCAGCGACACTCGCAGCCTCCGACCTCTCAGAACGAATGAGCCTCGCAAAGCCGTTGGGTGCGCGCCTGCACGGCGGTTGCTGCCCGGCTCCCGGAAGCCGCTCCCTGGCGGTGCGCGCCGGCAGCTGGGGCTGCAGCTCTGGGCGGGCGCCGATGGGCTCGCAGGTCCTCTTGGGATCGCCCGGGCGGCCCCAGGATCACAGGAGCGCCACCAGCCCGGCCTGAGAAGGAGGGCCTGTCTGGCCTTGCAGCCCGCCCCGCTCCTCCTCGGAAGGGAGATAGGGTGCTGGCAAGGGCACTCCGCGTCCACCTGGGTGGCTTTGCGGATGGCCCGGCTTCAAGCTGAGGCTCTGGCCCTGGAGTCTGTGTGGCTAGTGTCAGGTAGCTGGAGAGGCATGGAAGCAGAGTCAGGGGCTGCTCCTTCCCCCACCAGCCCTCACTGCTGCCAGTGCCCCACGCGCGGTTTGCAGCTGCAGATCTGGCACTGGCGTGGGATGGCGGAGCTTCCCTTGGATGGCTTCAGGGTCGCAGAGCGCACAGCCCACCTGGCCTCAAGTTCCGCTCCTCTTGGGCATCTCTCTGGATCCTGGGCCCTGGTGCTGGACACTCTGTATCCACACGGATGAAACTGAGCGGCTGCTGGCGGGGCCCGTCTCCTGATTCTGCCGCCCTGGGGGTCTGGCCTCAGGATCCACGCTACTGGGGGGCGGGCCTGGTCTGGGGTGTCCAGTCACTTACTGCTGGTGCACCACGTCTAGACTGCAGCTGCGGCTCCCATGCCGGCGTGAGCTGGCGGGCCTGGTACCTGATGTCCTCAGGGTCAAGTGCATCACCCGCCCACTTGAGGGGTTGCTGTGACTTGGCCTCCTCCAAGAACTCAGGGGCCGCCGGGGCTGGCTCTTTGTGGTAACCGGGATGGTATTGAGCAGCAGGTTTTCACCCTGGTGCCACTGCTGTGCGGACTGCCTGACTTGGGCGCCCAGGCACCGGCCTCAGGGTCCACGTGGCAGGTGTGTGTGCGGGTAGGGTGAGTGGCACGGAGGGTCAGGGGTTGCTCCGTCATCTCTGCCTGTGTGCAACTTGCAGTTTTGCAGCTTTCTGCAGCAGCTGAGGCGCTGGCGCGGGAAGGTGGAGCTCCCCTGGATGACGTCAGGTTTGCAGGCAAACCTGAGGGTCTGCTCAGGGGCCATGGTGGTTGAGTGCTCCATGGAAACTGGGATGGGGTGAACGGCCAGTTCCTGTCCTTTGGCCGCCTGGCCAATTGCCAGACTTAGCCGCTGCTGCCCAGGCATCTGTCTCTGGGGTTGCCGCTACTTGGGTAGAAGTGGGGGTCGGGGTGGGGCATGGAGCGTCACCGGTTGCCAGGCCAGCACTGTCTTTGCAACATATTCAGATGGCGGCGGGCAGCTCAGCTCGGGCACCAGCATGGGCTGGCGGGGCTCCCCTGGAAGGCCCTCAGATCGCTCACAGCATTGTCCCAGGGCTTCCTTGGCCTGTGCCAGGTGAGCAAGGTAGGGGGGAGCTTCCAAGGCTTCTATCCCAACTCTACATATTTCTAGCTATTTTCTCTTGAGTTATTTTGCGTCTATCTCAGTTTTATTTGCAAAAATAGTATATGCAAAATACATCCAGTGAATGTACATCAGGCATATAGAAGATCTGGCAGAAACACGTTTTCTCATGCCCATTTCCAGTGAGTATTTGAACACAGAGGCTTCCATGGTTTTGATTCTTTCCACAAAAGGATAGTTTTGTCTGTTTTCACCATTTACATAAGTGAAACTATAAATTATATAATTTTATGTTCATTCACTAAACATGCTTGTGACACTTATCATTTTGCTCCTATTGATTATTCATTAATTTTATTTTGTAATACTCAATTTTATGACTATACCACAGGTTTGAGGCCTTTGCTTGTTTTGTTTATAATCCACTCCACTATTGATAGACACAAAAGCAGTTTCGGATTTGAGGCTATCATGAATAAACCTGCTACGAACAAATCAGATATACACGTTTTTCTGTAATAATATTTTCACATTTCTTGAGTTTAAGAGTGGATTTTCTGGGTTATAAAATAAGTATATATTTGGCATTGTATGAAATGGGGAGACATTTTCCTAAGTGGTTGTGCCATCTTAAACTACAATGAAAATGTTTGAGACAATCAGTTCCACTTTCTAACCAATACTTGATGCTGTCAGTTGTTTTAGTGTTATCCATTCTTATAGGATATAACTGCTGAGTAGCTGTCTGCCTTCCCCATAACACAGAAAATTGAGGGCCCAGAGGACAGTTTTATTTTCATATTTGACATCTTCTATTATGTTTTATAGAAGGGTGATTTGGGTAGTAAAATTTTCTTTCAATTTTCTAGGTTGTCTCTGAATCTTACTGGGGTTCCTTGTCCTAAACCACATTCAGAAATTTTCACGACCGACTTCTTTTTATCTTTGTCATACCAGGCCAATGAGGGACAGCGTTCCTGAAACTTTTTAAGTACTTTGTGTGTGTATGATGGTCTAATAATCATAGCCTTAAAACTTTCTGGCTGCGCATGGTGGCTCATGGCCACCACTTCGAGAGGCCGAGGTGGGTGGATCACCTGAGGTCAGGAGTTCGAGACCAGCCTGACCAACGTGGAGAAACCCCAACTCTACTAAAAATAAAAAAAGTAGATGGGCATGGTGGCAGATGCCTGTAATCCCAGCTACTTGGGAGGCAGGAGCTACTTGGGCTGAGACAGGAGAATCGCTTGAACCCACGAAGCAGGGGTTGCAGTTAGATGACATCACACCATTGCACTCCAGCCTGGGCAACAAGTGTGAAATTCCATCTCAAAAAAAAAAGAATCTCAGACTTCTGGGAGACACTGAATTTGTGAATGTGTACAGCATGTCACAATAACTTTTTTTTTTTTTTGAGACCAAGTCTCACTCTGCTGCCCAAGCTGGAGTGCAGTGGCCCATCTCAGCTCACTGCAACTTCTGTCTCCTGGACTCAAGAAATTCTCCTGTCTCGGCCTCCCGAGTAGCTGGGATTACAGGTGCTGCAACCATGCCTGGCTAATTTTTGTATTTTTAGTAGAGACAAAGTTTCACACATTGGCCAAGCTGGTGTCGAACTCTTCACCTCAGATGATCCACCTGCCTCAGCCAATGGGTGGATTGTTAACTCAAAATACGCACCATTGAATACTGAGGAAATTGTATAGCCATCATCACCAGCAGCTAAGATGCCAGTTGAGATACCAGGAATGCCCCAGCATGTAACTCCTCTTTTAATTCACACACACACACACACACACACACACACACACACACTCATGGTAACCAGTTCAGGATGGACACAGAAACAGTCACAGTCTTTTTTGGGAACACACTCCCCTGTGACACTTAGATCCTAATGCTGACTCCATTTCCCTCCCGGGACCTCCCCTCTCCTTGCAGCATGCTGGGCTTTCCCTTAGAAAACTCCATGTCATTTCCTTCAATGGAACATCAATCAGCTTCATCCACAGTGTCTGCATGTCTCTGTCCATAGCAAATGTTTTTATTACTTTAAAATGTAGATTTTTACCTTAACTAGCCAAAGACTTAGGACCCTTTTTCCAAGATCTTTTAGATGAAGTAATAAATGCAAATATTAGAGATGTGTATATGTGTATAAACATATGGAGAAAAGATGTTGTCTAGTTCTACAAATTAGCTTTAACAAAACTCCTGATTTAAATTATTTAATTGTGAGAAGGGCGATTCTAACTCAACACACCAACGAAATAAAAGCCTTATCCCTCTGCTCCGCCAAAATATCCCATTAAGAGCCTGCGTGTGTGTGTACACACACGTGTGCACTCATCCCCACCTGACCGTATCAAATTATTCTTTAAACTAGATATTTTTACTTTGTTGCATAGTAGTAATGGTTTCTGGAATGAAAAAAAAAAAAACAGGAGAATAAAACTGTTTAAATGTATCTCCGGGTGAACGCTGTGGCCACTGCACCAACCCAAACCCGCCGATGGCGCCCAGTACCTGCGTCTCAGGAAGAGGTTCTGGCGGGGCCTCCGCCTGAGGCCGCGCCCCTGGGACCTGTCCCGCGTCCACGTGAAAGCGGAGCGCAGCATTCACCATTCCCTTCCTGAAACAGCGGTCCCCGAGGTGCTCCACAGGCAGGGCCGAGCTGGGCGAGGGGGAGCCCAGCTCCTGCACGGGCCGCCCTGAGCGGCGGGGACACAGGAAGAGCTCGCCGGCACCACCAGCCCCTACCCCAGACGCGGGACCTGGGACCAGCGAGGACCTGGAGCCCCCGCCCCACGGTTGCCAGGAGGCGGACAGGGGCAGCTCCTGGGGAGCTACCGCCCCGAGGCCATTCCGCCAGAACTTGAGCCACTTGGGAAGGGGCAGCGCCCCGCCCCTGAAGAGGAACCTGTGTCCTGGAGGCAGCAGCCTGGGAGCTTCTCCTCCGAGGACACCGCAGAGGCGAGTGACTGTGGTGGCGCAGCGCTGGCTTTCCCGTCCGCGGAGGAGGAGAGCTGCGGGGCTGGGTGAGCTGGACCAGGGAGCACGGCTGGCTTCTCTCAGCCTCCGATGGAGAGTGGACAGCTTAGGGGGTTGCCCCCGTGCCAGCCGGCCTTCTGGCCACTCTGGGCTTCATCACAGCCTCACCTGCCTGCTCAGGCGCCTAGCACCGCAGGCTGGAGCTTCTGGCCATGCTGGTCAACTTCCCCAACGAGCCTCTGCTGCCTGGGAACTGCAAGGCCAGGGCTACACCGCCCTGCACTTGGCAGCCATGTACCTTGGAGATGGTGAAGCTGCTAGTGGGGACCTAGGACGCCGATGTGGACATCAGGGACTACATTGGGAAAAGGGCCTCCCAGTATGTGAGTCAGAGCATCACAGAAGAGATCGAGACCCTGGTGGGAGTCCTGGACAAGGACGAAGGGGAGAGCACCGCCAGCAGCGGGGGTGGGTACTGGAAGATTTAAAAGGTGCCTCCTCCATCTCACCACCTACAAACTCTCACACGTCCTGGAAGATGGGGGGACCCTCTCCACCATCACGACTTGGCTGAAGGTGGTCCAGAGGTGAAGCCAAGGATTCCAGGGCGCACAGCCTCGGGCAGGACTAATGGACTTAAAAAACACAGGCTCAACAAAATCCACTTCACAACCCAGATGGTTCACATCACACCCTCTTTCAGGGACTCAGAGCAGCCACTGGAAGAGAAGGAGTAGGAACGCTCTCTTAAAGGCCACTTATCCGATTCCTTCAAATTAAGACCAAAGTCCAATGTATTTAGGTAAAAAATAATTTCTTTTAGAAAATGCTAAGGTTTGTCTTCTGAAATTTAATAACAGAAACAAAAAAAGAACACTAGATGTAAGGAAGTGAGACCAGAAAAGACAACTAAACTATCCTTACTAGGTTGGAATGGATGGGGTGGAGTTCCCATCAGGCTAGCATTCTGGGGAAAGTGTTTATTTTATTTTATTTTTTATTTTTGGCGGTGGGGGGAAGGAGTCTCGCTCTGTCGCCCAGGCTGGAATGCAGTGGCGCCATCTCCGCTCACTGCAAGCTCCGCCCCTCGGGTTTATGCCATTCTCCAGCCCCAGCCTCCCAGTAGCTGGGACTACAGGTGTCCGCCACCACACACGGCTATTTTTTTTGTATTTTTAGTAGAGACGGGGCTTCACCGTGTTCTCCAGGATGGTCTCTATTCCTGACCTCGTGATCCGCCCACCTCGACCTCCCAAAGTGCTGAGATTACAGGCGTGAGCCACTGAGCCTGGCCAGATTTCTATTTAAGAGGTTCATCATACCTTGATCTGTGCCCCATTTCCCTCCTCCACCTATCTGACCTGGCGTTCCTATTTCGGGAGACCAGAAGTGGGGGGAAGAGAAGGGATGACTGTTTCTTTGCTTTCACCATTCCTGCATACCATGCAAAGGAAGGAATATTGCGCTTTTAATTATCTGTTTTATTAAGTGGTTACTCTTTCAAGGACAGAAAAAATGCAAATTTTTACAAAACTGGTAGTATTTGTAAGTGCAAGCACTACATGCTGCCTTGTTCTTTTACCAATTGCATTTGCATTTTAAGGTACTACTGGTACAGCCACGGTGGAGAACAGTTTGAAGGTTCCTCTAAACATTGAAAATGGAGGTACCACACGATCCAGCAATCCCACTGTTGGATATATACCCCCAAAATAAGAAATGAGTATATCGAAGAAATTATCTGCACTCCCATGTTTGTTGCACCACTGTTGACAATAGCTAAGATTTGGAAGCAACCTAAGTGTCCATCAACAGATTAATGTATTAAAGAAAATGTGGTAGATACACACAGTGGAGTATTATTCAGCCCTAAAAAAGAATGAGATTCAGTCATTTGCAACAACATGGAAGGAACTGGATATCATTATGTTAAGGGAAATAAACCAAGCACGGAAAGACAGACATTGAATGTTCTCACTTATTTGTGGGATCTAAAAATCAAAACAATTGAACTCATGGACATAGTAAGTACTAGGGGGCTGGGGAGGGAGACAGGGCACGGGTAATGGGTACAAAAATAGGCAGAAGGAATGAATAAGACATACTATTTGATAGCACAACAGGGGGACTCTAATCAATAATTGTACATTTAAAAATAACTAAAAGAATCTAACTGGATTGTAACACAAAGGATACATGCTTAAAGGGTTGGATACCCACTCTCCGTGATGTGATTAGTTCATGTTTCATGCCTGTATCAAAACATCTCATGCACCCCATAATATATATGCCTATTATATACTCACAAAAATGCTTGAAAATAAAAATAAAGGAACTACTGAAGGTCAGGTCAGAGTGGAAATGCAAAAGTACCAATTAGAGAATAATGTGAATACAACAGGAATCCTGTTGGTATTCTATTTATATTGTAAGCAGCAGTTCAATTGTCTTGTAAAAGCAATTTCAATTTTAATCACTGAACTAAAGAAATGGGCAACACTGACTTCCGTAATATAGGTTCTACCTAACCATCTCTAACACCGCTGTCAAGGAGGTCCAGTGTTAAGGTACATTATTGTTATAAATATTAGTGAGCCCATACTTCTGCGATATAATTAAACCAACTTAATGATTCTCACATAAGGTGTCAATTTATTTTACTAATGCATTCATAATCTATGCTTTGTAGCAACATTTTTCAAATGTTTAAAATGCTAAATCTTCTCAATTTTCCAATCTTTTCTTGAATCTATTAGATACCTATAGTGTAGTTACTGAATAGCTGGGAAACAAATACACCTAGTTAGAAATGGCACTGCTTTATAAAAGGCACTAGAGAAAAGATGAGACTATTTCTATATTTAAATGCTGCTGGCAAATGAATTCCTTTGTATATAAATGAAAGATACCATTCATTAAAATGAAAGACTTAAGTGTGATTCTTACATTTCATTCATTTATGATAGAGTAAATGCCTTTATAATTACTTTAAAATTTAACTCACTAGTACATTAAATCTGTTCATTGCAAGATTAGAATCAAATGTGAGGGGAACTAATTTAAAAAAGCCCTTCGTTAGTCTTATTGAGTCTCATATTTGCTGAAAGTACCTACAGCTTGCAGGATAAGGGAGTTCACGGACTATAGGGTGAGTGAACCCATGCACAGATTGCAAACTGCCCAGAGCTACAACATTTAGGATTTTTAGACCTTTAATTTTCCAAGTCATAGAAATCTGTTACAGGTTCATCACATCTTTGTCTAAATGGCAACTGAATTTCTTTAAAGATAGGTTAAAAAAGGCATAAAACTATGAATTATTATCCGTTTGCGTGCCTCTATTTTTGCTTTAGAATTATGGAAGTGGATCCTGTGAATTAGGGAAACACTGTTATGTATACACATGGGTGAAAAACAATCTAACATTATGTAAATTAAAATACTTTTTTTGAAGTTGAAAAACATCCATTTGTTCTAAATCTATATATATTATGTGTATCTAGTACAGAATAAACTGTAACTTCTCATTGAGTAATCTTAGGTTTTACAGATATGTAAAGCTAAAGCAACTCTAAAGAGTAGACATTTCAGAAAAGGAAGATTCTGGTCAATGTTGAGAGTAGACACTTTCACTGAAGGTTCTGGTGAAATGTGGGTAACTAATTGCTTGAAATCTATAATTTGCTATATAGTTAACTATTAAGTTAAAATGTTATTTACCATGCTTTTTACACTAAAAGCTTTAACTTTTCTGAGAAAATAATATTTTAAATGTTCAATTATTACTTCTGAGGACAGCTACTTCTAGCATTCTTTGTCATGATGTGCTTGTGTGCAGTAAGCAGAGCATTTTCAGCCACTTACCTCTACATTCTTCCTGTTTTTCAATTTCTGATTTAGATTATAAAAGGCAAATGATTAATTTAATTTGATACTCAGAGTTGTGTTTACCTTTCATGGACAAATATATGTCAGATACTTTGATGTTTATTGATATGACACCGTGTGGTTAAACAACGCAAGTATGTCCACGTGTTTCTTATAGGGTACACTTGAAACTAGTGGTGTTTATGCAGTTCACTTATGTAACTTGAAAATCTTGTACTATTGCATTCAGGACTGAAATCTTGGAGTTTATGTGTCTTGCCTCTCATTTTGAAAATAAGTGAAAGTTGAGAATGTAAAATCAATAAAGTTCATTTTTTTAACTAGGAAAAAAACACAAATTAATGACAGACACCAAATTACAAATCCAAAAAGCTCACAGAACACCAAGCAGAATGAATATTTTAAAAATATACCTAGGAATATCATATTCAAACTGGAGAAAACCTGTAACAAAGATAAAAGATTAAAATAAGGCAGAGGAAGAAACACATTGTCTACAGAGAAACAGACATAAGGATTACATTGGACTTCTGTTTAGAATCCATGCAAGTAAGAAGTGTTGAAAAAATTAGAATACAGTGGGTATTTATTATCCAAGTATTCATTATCTAAAACTGCAAAGCAAAAATAATTGTAACAAGAACACATTCACTAGCAATCTGAACACTCATGGTATTAGTGTCTGTTCTGGAGAGAATTATGTCCCCCCAGAATTCCTAACCTGAAGCCCTATCTCCCAGTGTGACTGTATTTGGAGAAGGAGCTTTTAAGAAGGTAAAGGTTAAATAGGGGCAAAAGGGTAAGGCCCTAATCTGTTAGGACTGGGGTCATCATCCAAAAAGGTAGAGACACAAGAGATATATATCTCTCTCTCTTCTCTCTCTCTCTCTGCCCCACTCCTTCTCTCTCCCTCCCTCTCTCCCTCTCTCTCTCCCTCTCTCTCTCCCTCTCTCTCTCCCTCCATCTCTCCCTCTCTCTCTCCCTCTCTCTCTCCCTCTCCCCACATACATTTGTTAAATTGAGGTTTTTTGTTAGAACATATATAGTGGCATTTTAATATAGTGTTACTCTACTTAAAACACACACACACATACATTTTTAATAAATTCTTTTTTGAGGATAAGGCCGGGCATGGTGGCTCACACCTGTAATCTCAGCACTTGGCGGGATTATCATCTGAGGTGGGTGGATCATCTGAGGTCAGGGGTTCAAGACCAGCCTGGCCAACATGGTGAAACCCGTCTCTATTAAAAATACAAAAAATTAGCTGGGTGTGGTGGCAGGCACCTGTAATTCCATTTACTCAGAATGCTGAAGCAGGAGAGTCCCTTGAACCCAGGAGGCGGAGATTGTGGTGAGCCGAGATTGCACCATTGCACTCCAGCCTGGGCAGCAAGAGCAAAACTCCGTCTCAAGAAAAATACAATAAAATAAAAATAAAAAAAACACAAAACTGGGATGTGTCCCTGTCTTTTAGGCAGATATACTTTACCATTATTAAAACTGAGCTTCAGAAACATTAAGCATGCTACACAAACTTAGCTGCAAATGAATACTGAAATGGAAGTTTGAATCCAAGATGATTTCTTTTCAATCCCATGCTAATGCCATTAACTCCTATAGACCCTTCTCAGGTGCAGCCAGAGAGACACTAGCCCACTGATGGACAGACAGACGTGGGCAGGGTCCGTGTCAATAAACCACCCACCACTGCCACAGCTGCCTACAACAGACACATCAGATGACACTCCAGGCAAATAAATGATTTTCACTGAGGACTTACTGGTTTTAATAATAGGTCCTGGTGTAGAGAAGTCCCTCAACCTATTGTGCAATGAGTTTTGAGAAGCGGGTAAGCTGTATGTTTTGTGGTTTTGTTTCATAAATGCATCTACAGGAAGACCAATATTGACTGAATGAAGCTTTCATTTAAAAGGCTAAAATATGCTTTGTGTTTTTATATGTGGATACTACTTTAAACCTAATGACTATTTATTGTATCACAGCTTGTGATGTATTCTGCTCATGGCTTTTAAGGTAAATTGTGCCATGATCCACTGCCGTTCTAATTGCTTTAACAAGTCATTACCACACTACTGTTACATCTAAATTATGCATACAGACAGGTAGACTTATTTTACATATGTGAACTAACTAGTTGTCAAAGCAAAGGCAGATTGTACTCTGCAAGTAAAGTATTTTTCTCTCTGAAATTTCTAGGGTTGTTCTTTAAGTGAAATTCATATTCAAACTGAAGATTTTAGTTACAGGAACTGAGTGCAGATTAAAGTCTTTTTGTGATTCAAACATAGTCAAGAGTACAACTGTGATATTTCATGGAAGTTATGGAATAAAATGTCTCTAACCTGCTAACAAATCTATCAAGCAGATGGCACAGTACTGAATTTGAAACCAGAAATCCTGGGTTTTTATATAAATGCTTCATAGATTTGTTTTATGATAAAGGGCACATAACTCTCCTAAACCTCACATCACCTCTTGAATAGGGATAATAAGTCCACATCAATGCTGATGCCTTAGCTATTATTAAACTCTTACAGTATGATGTAAAGTGAAAGTACAATGTAAGATCATTCCTAGGCCAACTTTGACCAGTTTTATACAGAAACATGTGCCAACTTTTCTGTTTGCAAGGATAATATCAAAGAAAACTCCAGAAAGTTATCTTTGCTCTCCCTCTCCCTCTCCCTCTCCCTCTCCCCACTGTCTCCCTCTCCCTCTCTTTCCACGGTCTCCCTCTGATGCCGAGCCGAAGCTGGACTGTACTGCTGCCATCTCGGCTCACTGCAACCTCCCTGCCTGATTCTCCTGCCTCAGCCTGCCGAGTGCCTGCGATTGCAGGCGCGCCGCCACGCCTGACTGGTTTTCGTATTTTTTTGGTGGAGACGGGGTTTCGCTGTGTTGGCCGGGCTGGTCTCCAGCTCCTAACCGCGAGTGATCTGCCAGCCTCGGCCTCCCGAGGTGCCGAGATTGCAGACGGAGTCTCGTTCACTCAGTGCTCAATGGTGCCCAGGCTGGAGTGCAGTGGCATGATCTCGGCTCGCTACAACCTCCACCTCCCAGCCACCTGCCTTGGCCTCCCAAAGTGCCGAGATTGCAGACTCTGCCCGGCTGCCACCCCGTCTGGGAAGTGAGGAGCGTCTCTGCCTGGCCGCCCATCATCTGGGATGTAAGGAGCCCCTCTGCCTGGCTGCCCAGTCTGGAAAGTGAGGAGCATCTCTGCCCGGCCGCCATCCCATCTAGGAAGTGAGGAGCGCCTCTTCCCGGCCGCCATCCCATCTAGGAAGTGAGAAGCGTCTCTGCCCGGCCACCCATCGTCTGAGATGTGGGGAGCGCCTCTGCCCCGCCGCCCCGTCTGGGATGTGAGGAGCGCCTCTGCCCAGCCATGACCCCGTCTGGGAGGTGAGGAGCGTCTCTGCCCCGCCGCCCCATCTGAGAAGTGAGGAGACCCTCTGCCCAGCAACTGCCCCGTCTGAGAAGTGAGGAGCCCCTCCTCCCGGCAGCCACCCCGTCTGAGAAGTGAGGAGCCCCTCCGCCCGGCAGCCGCCCCATCTGAGAAGTGAGGAGCCCCTCCGCCCGGCAGCCACCCCGTCTGGGAAGTGAGGAGCGTCTCCGCCCGGCAGCCACCCCGTCTGGGAGGGATGTGGGGGTCCGCCCCCCGCCCGGCCAGCCGCCCCGTCTGGGAGGGAGGTGGGGGGTCAGACCCCGCTCGGCCAGCCGCCCCGTCCGGCAGGTGAGGGGCGCCTCTGCCCGGCCACCCCTACTGGGAAGTGAGAAGCCCCCCCGCCCGGCCAGCCGCCCTGTCTGGGAGGTGTACCCAACAGCTCACTGAGAACGGGCCATGATGACAACAGCGGTTTTGTGGAATAGAAAGGGGGGAAAGGTGGAGAAAAGATTGAGAAATCGGATGGTTGCCGTGTCTGTGTAGAAAGAAGTAGACATGGGAGACTTTTCATTTTGTTCTGTACTAAGAAAAATTCTTCTGCCTTGGGATCCTGTTGATCTGTGACCTTACACCCAACCCTGTGCCCACTGAAACATGTGCTGTGTCCACTCAGGGTTAAATGGATTAAGGGCGGTGCAAGATATGCTTTGTTAAACAGATGCTTGAAGGCAGCATGCTCGTTAAGAGTCATCACCACTCCCTAATCTCAAGTACCCAGGGACACAAACATTGCGGAAGGCCGCAGGGTCCTCTGCCTAGGAAAACCAGAGACCTTTGTTCACTTGTTTATCTGCTGACCTTCCCTCCACTATTGTCCTATGACCCTGCCAAATCCCCCTCTCTGAGAAACACCCAAGAATGATCAATAAAAAAAAAAAGAAAAAAAAAGAAAGTT
Source organism: Homo sapiens (assembly GCF_000001405.40). Taxonomy (NCBI): domain Eukaryota; kingdom Metazoa; phylum Chordata; class Mammalia; order Primates; family Hominidae; genus Homo; species Homo sapiens. The sequence continues at coordinate 72,419 of NT_187499.1, forward strand.
ATATCTTTGATGCATTTTTTTCAAAATCATACACATAATACACAAACCAAAGACAAATGATGAATATTATGTCAGAAAATATAAAGTCTTCCCCTTTCTTCTTTTGCCAAGAAAGTCCAATATTTTCACCATTTTTATGCACACAATCAACTTTATTTAAGCTGGAAGTTAATGTCTCATTGTTTTCATTGTTCTAAATAAACACCTTTTCCCTTGAGTATTGTTCTAAAAATTTTGAAGTTGTGTGAAAAATTTTGTTCTGATTTTTCACATTTGTGCTAATGATATGTGAAAAGGAATACAGATGGTATTTAATTATGAACAGGAAAAGATGTTAAATATCATTAGTCATTAGAAATTTGCAAATTAAGACCACAATGACTAACACATGTATATCAGAATAGCTAAAATAAAAATAAAACATCAAACGCTGGGGAGCATGAGTAAAAACTGGAGCTTTCACACATGACTCGTGGGAACGTAAAATCGTACAGCTATGCCAAAAAGGAGTATAGTAGTTTCTTAAGAAACTAAAGGAACCTGAGTCCCCAGGCCTGCAGTCTGGGCCAAGGTCACTGGCCCTGGATCAATCAGGATGGGGTTCAGGGGCCTTCCTGGGGCCATCCAGTGTCCAAGGTGCCCTTTGGTGGCCTCGTCTGCCCCTCAGCCCCTGAGCACGTCCCTCTGTCCCTCCAATCCTCCCTGCCATGGGACATCTGTCACAGAGCCATGCCCTACCTCCTGCTTTCTGGAGATGCCAACTGCCTGGGGTGCTCTTAGCCCTGCCCTCCCCATCTCTGGGTCCTGACCAAGGTGTTCTAATGGACACCCCCTGACCCAGGTCTCAGAGAGCTGCCAGCACCCTGGGTCCCTGAAGCTAAGATCCAGCAAGACACATGTGGCCTGAGAGTCCCACTTTCTGGCTGGCAGAACCCAGAGGTGGGAGCACACTGGAGTGTCCTTCAGGGTGTCTTCACCCCATGAGAGGGCTGGGGGCTTTGGGAGTTTGCAGCTGGCAGGAGTCAGGGCCCAGTCCCCTAACTCTGATGCATCCTTGGTTAAATCCTGTGCCTCAGCCTGCAGGGCCTATTGTGGTCACCAGGTGAATGTGTTCCCTTAGTCTGGGAGCCCCAAGTAGGCAGCACCCCCTGCCAACGACTTCAGGGCACCTGGAAGTGGAGGCTGAGAGGTCTCCCACTTCGCAGAGCTGGGCTCTGGCCCAGAGGCCTTCTCCTTGGCTTAGCTGGTCTCTCGGGCTCCTGGGGCTGCAGATCAGGGACAGAAACAAGCAGCTCTGCTCTGCTATGCCTACAGAGAGGTGCCCAGTGAATACAGGTTCCAGACAAAAGGTGGAGCCTGGCATCCTGCCCTGCGTGGGCTCCAGCCTGCTGCCATCTGGGGAAACTGAGTCATGGCGAGGCTCAAGGATGTTTCTCAGACCACACCAGTCCCTGAAGGTCCGCTGACCTCCCATTCTTGACGGACAGTGAGAAGAGGTTCCCAGGCCACCTGCAATAGGTTCTGGCTTGGCCTGGGTTGGGATAAGTCTCCCGGCTGCTGTTCTCAAAGCCCCATCAGGAGGCTGTGTCAGGCCAGGCGCACCGTGGTGACAGCAGCATGGACTGAGGGTTCTGGCCGCGGGAGAGGTCAGGACCGGGGGAGGTCAGGTCCAGGAGGAGGGCACTGGCCGGCACATGGTGGTGCTGGAGAGACCTGGGCGGGGTGGTGGGAATGGCCCAGGAGGAGCCCTGGCTCCTGTGGCTGGAGTGAGGGTGCGGGCTGTGGTGGGAGAGGAGGTGAAGGTGGAAGGAACAGGGGCCCAGGGGCCTGTGCTGTAGGAAGGACATGGACTTCCTAGCGAGGACTTTCTGGTGCGGGGTTCTCAGGGAAGAGGAGGCCGGAGGGGCTGGGGTCCCCAGGAGTGCATGCACCAGGCAGGCAGAGGGGAGGCCGAGCCAGGAGCCGCAGGCTTCTCACCGCCAGACCAAAGCCACCCTCCGCTGGCTGCGTGGGGAATCGTGCCTAGCCTGGGGCTCCCCTGGCCCCAGGTTTGGGGGACTCCGATGTGTCCTGGGGCGCTTCCTGCCCATCCAGCCTCTGCCAGGCAGCATGGCCCTGGGTGGCTTTCAGGGCAGCCTCCGCAGCACAGGACCTGCCTCCGCCCTGTGGGGCAGATTTGGGCATCTGACTCTGGACACTTACCCAGAAGCTGAATTCAACTCCCCAGGGAAAAGCACACTCAGACTCCCTCCCTCCCCACTGTGCCCAGCCTGAGGGGACCCTGGCTGGGACTTGGGAGGAGAAGGCCAGAGGCCAGGGCCTGGCTCTCAGGCACTAGGTCCAGGAGAAAATGGAGCAGAGTCCCTGCAGGAACTGCCTCAGACTGCCCCTGAGGGGGCCTGGCCTGGGACCCTCCCTGTGCTACCAGGCTGCTGTTGGGGCCAGGAGGGCAGGGAGAGCAGCCACCTGTACAGCATCAAGTAACAGTATCACTCAGCACACCCAACATCCACACAACAGCCACAGCCCTCTGCCCTGAGGGGGCAGGTGGGCAGAGCCTCCTCTGTCTTGTTCACCCTGAGCAAGGAGCTCCACACAGGACAGGATCAGAGAGCAAACCAGGAACAAATGGATGAATCAACGAAGAGGCCAGGGCAGTAGGTCCCCACCCACACCCTGAACCCTAAGGGTGGGACACAGAGGCTGGAGACGGGCTGGCCCTGGGATCCTCTAAGTGACAGGAACCCTTGGCCACTGTTGATTGCCCTGAGGCAGGGACAGGGATGGTGGGGCTGGGGCTGCCTGGCCCTTTAAGAGGGCAATTCTGCCTGCCGCCCTGAATGCCCCCTCCCCTAGCCACTGGAGAAGAGATCCCGTTTCTTGGCAACAGGAAGCTCTTGGTTTACTGGGTCACCCAAGCAACTGGGAGCCGCGTCCTGCTCTGGGACTGAGCCGTTGGAGCCGACCAATGACTGCACTGGGCTGACCGCAACAAGCTGACCACACACACTCCTCACTCCCCTGGCCCTGGTGGGCGGAAGACACCATGGTGCAGACGGATATGCTCCTACCAGAGCCGGTCCCACAGACAATGCCGCCCTGCGAGCTGCCCTGCAAAGAGTATGATGTGGCCCGCAACACGGGCACCTACATGTCCTCCGGCCTGGCCACCGCCGGCTGGAGGTGTGGTTCCAGAACTGCTATGCTCGCTACCACCAGGCCTTCGCCAACTGCAACCAGTCAGAGCAGGAGCTGCAGGGGCATGAAAGCCAGCAGCTGGCCGCAGAGACCCAGGCGCTGGCGCAGGGGACGCAGCAAGACTCCACGCGCAGGGTGGGCGAGCAACTGCAGGACACGCACAGCTGGAAGTCAGAGCTGCAGCGTGAGGTGGAGGCGCTGGCTGCGGAGACCGACCTGCTGCTGGCCCAGAAGCAACGCCTGGAGCACGCCCTGGATGCCACGGAGGCGCCCTTCTCCATCGCCACTGACAACCTGCAGTGCAGCCAGGGCCACCAGAACGCTAACCTCATGCGCGACCATGTGGAGACGGAGCTGCTGAAGGTGCCAGCAGCCGTGGGTGGCCAGGATTTGTGGGTGCAGAGAGGAGGAGCCCCCGGCAGTTCATGTGGACAAGCCACGTGGCTGCTGCAAGCACACAGGAGACCAGCCCTCTGTGCGTGAGACCCCTGAGTCCCGAAATCTGGCCCCTTAGTGACAGGAGGCAGTTTTGCCCCAGAAGGCCCCTGACTTCTAAGCACCTGTTTCTCATCTCCTCCTCCAATCCCTTTGAGTCCTGGCACAGTCATCCTGACCCTGGGCTCCCCAGAGATGCTCCCTGGTTGGGACAGTTGCTCCTGAGGTGGAAACCTAGGTCTGGGCCAGCACTGCGGGTGTGGACAGGTAGGGTGGGGTGGGCTGAGAGCCACTGCTCCCATTCATCCTATACAGAGCTGGGAACACGAAGATCTGCACCCACAGGTCCCCTTCTCCATGTCACCTGTAACTTCCCAATCCAGCCCAGCTTGTCTATGGGGCAACCACATAGGGTGAGAGAGTAACTCAGTCCTGGCCCTGATGCAGGCTCTGGAGAATTCCCTGAGCTCTCAGAGCCTGGGACCTCCGTGAGAACCACTACAGGCCTGTAGACATTTGTGAAAGATGTGGGGTGGGGGCAGCTGGTCTCCTGCCATACCCCCAAGCTCAGGCAATAACCCTTGAGTTCCTCCCTCCCCTCATGCCTTCCCTCCTCCCTCCCTTCCCCTTCTGCAGGCCCATCCCCCTGCACCCTCTCAGTGCCTCAATAACTGCTTCAGCTCTCGCAAACCCTCTGCCCGCAACAAGGGCCCCTGCCAAGTGATGGAGACACTGACAGTGCAGGAAGAGGCAAACCCAGGGACAGAAGGGTGCAGGACTCGGGCCCTGGCACACAAGAAGGTAGCTGGTGGTCAAGGCAAAGACCCCAATCACATGGAAAAAAGGCTTGTTCCTACACACAGAAAATTAAACTGGCCAGGCAGTAAGAAGAAACACAGGGTCTTCCTCCTGTTCTTGGTGTGAGGATGGCCTTTCCCAACACAGAGCCCTGAGGGGCAGCCTGGGCGGGCATCTTGGCCCCCAGAGTTTGGGTCCTCAGGGGCTGTCCAGAGGCCAGGGGCAGGCCAACGTTCCTGGGTGCACTGAGTGAGCAGCAGTGATGACTCTTGAAGCCTGGGGTGTGGGAACTGACGCTGAGGGACCTTCCCAGCAGCCCATAGAAGGCCCTGGAGGAAAACACCCCACTTACAACGCACCAAGGAGAATGCACAAAAGCCCAAGATAAACCCAGTGAGAGAGCAGAACTTGCACAGTCAGAGCTCAGGCCCGGCATTCAACTCCTTCTGGTTGCTCAGGTGTAGACCAAGGCCTGCAGCAGCTGGGCCTCCTGGGATCCTTACCAAGGACCGGCTCTAGTGCTCAGGGCGTCTTCTCCCTCAGGAAGCTGAGCTCATCCGGAACATTCAGGAGCTGCTGAAGAGAGCCATCGTGCAAGCAGTGAGCCAGATCCGGTGGGTCGAGGGCTGCCCAAGGGATGACTCCTGACCCCACCCACGGCTGGTCCTGGGGCAAGGCATTGAACGACAGGACCCTGAAGCTCAGAGCCGGCAGGGGCTGCCCCAGGTCACAGTGGGAGCACAGGGCTGGGTGGGGGAGGTTCTGGCCCAGCCTGAGTTTGAGTGACCAAAGCCCAGTGCCATATCTGATCTGCAGCCTCCCAGCATGGGCGGCAGCTCTTGGTCACTGCTGAGCACGAGGACAGCCGGCCCACAGCTCCCTCCTGAAGCAGGCATGAAGGCCTAGCCTGCAGCATGGAGGATCCCCAGCGGTGCCCTCCCCGGCCACACACCAAGGCCCTGCCCCACCCCGCCCCAGACTGAACCGGGAGCACACGGAGATCTGCGAGATGGACTGGTCGGACAAGGTGGAGGCCTACAACCTCGACGAGACCTGCGGGCGCCACCACAGCCAGAGCACCGAGGTGCAGGCTCATCCGGCACTCCACCACCTTCCAAGAGAGGGGGGCCCCAGCTCTGCCCCCACACTTGCCCTGGCTGTGGTCTCGCCTCCCTCTGCCTGGGGGCCCCAGCGGCGCTGCTTCCCCCAGCCTGACCCGGAGGCCCTCGCCCCCGAGGACACTTGGGCAACTGTCTGCCCCTGGCATGAGTAAGCGAGCAAGACCTCCTCAAGTGCCCAGCGCGTGCACAGCCTGGTTGCCTGTAGACAGGACAGGGTGGGGTGGGGTCAGGCCCAGGCGCCGGCAGGATTGCATTTCCACCCAAGGCCAGCAGAGGGAGCGCGACCACCGCCCACTTGAGCGTGGCAAACTCCTGGGTGCGAGAAGCGGACGCGGGCGCTGGGTACTAGGGAAGGGGGGCTGCGGGGGACGGAGGTGCTGCAGAGGGGGCCTCGGGGGCAGCGGTGCTGGGAACGGGGTCGCGGGGGCAGGAGGGGACTAAGTGCCCGGGGTGGGTAGGGTGTGGGTGGACTCAGGGGAGTTGTGGGCGGGGGGCACTCGGAGGCAGGGAGCTTGGGGGACTGGGCTTCGTGGGTCTGCACGGGGTGCATTGGAGTCCATGCAGTTCCTCCAGGAGCATGGGGTGCAGACAGGGAATGGGGGCGCGGCAGGGCCCCCAGCCTTTGGCAGAGCCTCCCTGACCCTCTCCTGGCTGTCTCCTGCCCCGCAGCGCCTCCACCCCGGAGACCTGGACCAAGTTCACGCAGGACAATCTGTGCCGCTCCCAGCGCGAGCACCTGGACTCGGCCAACCTGTGGGTGCTGGTGGACTGCATCTTTCGCGACACCTCCGAGGACCTGGGACTCCAGTGTGACGCTGTGAACCTGGCCTTCGGGCGCCGCTGTGAGGAGCTGGAGGACACGCGGCACAAGCTGCAGCACCACCTGCACAAGGTGGGGCACCCTGAACCCCGAAGATGGCTCCCACTCCTGCCCACCACTCTGCCCCCTCTCATCACATGGCCTGGGCCCTCAATACCTTTCTCCTCTGTCCCACTTATCCCGAAGGACCCCAGAAGCAAGTGTCACCTCTCCGTAAACCTATGTAAAACCAGGTGACACTGGGTATGATCACAGGGTGTTGCAACCCCCATGACTGAGCTGGAGGAGCTGTGGGGAGGATGGAGGCAGGAGGTGGTCTCGGGAGCATTGACCGACCGGGAGGTCCCCAAGAGTCCTGGCCTGGCAGGCAGGGCTCTGACTCTAGGGCCTCAGCATGGCCTTTACCACCTCTGAGTCCCCAGTCCTTGAGCAGGATTTGGGTCCTGGTGACCACCAAGGATGGGGGTTCTTGGACCAGAGCTAAGATAAAACAGGCTGCCTGACTCTCCAGAGCCCACTGGGGGCCCCGTGCACATTGTTCCCCTCATCCACGCCTCCCCAGGGCCACTGGTCAGGACCACCCTCTGGACACAGCCCCAGGACCTGGGTAGGACCAGCCTGGTCTCCGCATTCGATATGCCCGGGCATGGGGGCACAGGCCTAAGGGGCACTGTCCTGTCTGTAGATGCTGCGGGAAATCACAGATCAGAAACAACGTGGCGGCACTGAAGGAGGCCATCAAGGACAAGGAGGCACCTCTGCACATAGCCCAGACCCTTCTGTACCTGCGCTTGCACTGGCCCAACATGGAGCTGTGTGGCAATGCAGCCCAGTTCAGGTGCTGCCTGGGCCTCTGAGGCAGTCCCACTTGCCCCCGTCCACCTCCTCGCTGTGACCCTTTCCAGTAAACACTCCAATCTCCACACACACATCCCCCGCAGGTGCTGAGAGGGGAGGGAGACTTTGCGGCCACACGCAACATGCAAGCACACCTTAAACACACAGATGATATAGACATGACACTGGGCAGGTCATGGGTCGGGTGCCTCTCAGTGCCAGGGACCTGTGCCCACGTGGTCTCACCCCACCCTGTGCTACCTCGTCTTCCCGGGAAGAAGCTCCTTCAGACAAGGTGAGCTCCTGGAGGCCACGGGGCCAGAGAGGCCAGGGAGGGCCATTCCCTGCTGCCCTGAGGGTGCTGTCCCCACCTCTGGTGGAAAGTATGACCTACGCCTGGGCTATAGGCATAGATGGGCCGTCCTTTTGTTTCCCTTGTTAATGGATGCCTGGTGGCCCCTTCTGAGCCTAAGTACCTTTCTTCCTTTCCTGCCCCTCAGTTCCTTCAAGGAACTGGGTGCCTCCTTCCGTCAAATATCAGGAATGGAAAGAACTGAGCCTTGTCGGCTGAGGCCAGTCCTGTTCTGCCAGGGTCGAGATTGCACGCAGGTCACTCATTCCCACTCAGGACCGTGCTCCCTGGGAGGACCCTCGTAATTTATGCTCTGCCCTAGAGCCGCTTTCCTGGTGGGATCCTTTCATGGCGTCTTCCCAGGACCTCCTGCCAGCTCCCATTGGGAGTTTTGGGTCCCCTGCACCCCAGTAGGTGCATACTTCTGCCCTCCCCAGCCCCAGCTCACACCCCCCAACATCCCCAAGCTGGTGAGTGAGGTGGAGGAGCTGAACATGTCCATCACAGCGCTGCGGGAGAAGCTTCTAGAAGGGGAGCAGTCCCTTTGCAACCTCGAGGACATCCACATGAGCCTGGAGAAGGACGTTACCGCCATGACCAACAGTCTCTTCATCGACCGCCAGAAGTGCATGGCCCATCGTACTTGCTACCCCACCATCCTGCAGCTGGCTGGCTACCAGTGAGCAGCGGCACGGTGCTTCCCCCCAATCCCCCAAATAAACAGTGCATTAGCTTTCTGCACAGTGTGTGTGTGTGCCCGGTGGGACCTCCAGTTGCTGTCCATCTGAACTGGCCTTTGGGTCCCCTGTGAGGCTGGCTCTGCCTATGGACTCATCATCCCAACAGTTGGAGATGAGGGGTCAGAGCTGAGGATGAGGAATCCCTGTGCTTCAGAGGACAGGACATGCCCAGGTGGGGACTGGGGCTCCACAGCACAGCTCAAGTGTGGGCGCAGACCGTGTGTCCCGCTCAGAGCCAGGCCACCCAGCTCCCCCTCCTCACTTCCCCACCAGTGCTGGCTCCTCCATTCCCTCACCAGAGTCTTAGGGCCTTGGGACATCTTTGCGGCCTCTGCATCTCCCCAACTCCTCCCCCTGCACCTCCAGGCCCCCAGCCTCAGCTCACATACCCCTGTGACAGTGCGCTTATTCTGCTAGAAGCTGGTCTGGCTGCTGGGTGCACCTGCTGTGGCGATCCTCCAGGCAGGCCCCACGCAGAAGCACCCACTTCAGCATCCCCTCTCTGTCCCCAATGACAGTGTATACCTGAGCTCAGCCCAGCCCAGCTCTCAGTGCCCAGGACCCCTGAGGCTCAGATGGGCAGATGGGCAGATCGGCAGGGGTACATGGAGTTCCCTTCTGGGTGTGGGCCCAGTGTGGGGAGAGGGGCCTGAGAACAGCCCAGGGTGGGCATCCACCTGGAGAGCCTGTGGGTGGGGGTCCCATCTGCAAGATCCAGGCCCACAGGGCTCTTGTCTCAGCCTGGAGGGGACCGGGAGGTAACAGCCCCTTCCCCCCAATCAACCACGAGGACAACCAGCTGGGCAGCTCTGTGAGCTGGGTGGGGTCAGCCAGGTGGAAATTGCTGCTGGGGGTTGCTGGGAGAAGAGGCATGGGCTGCCTTTCACGTGGGGCTAACTCAGACCTCTCTCCCCGACCTGCTAGGACCCCTCCAGAGGCCACTGCTGAAGACGAAAAACACTACTGCCGTTCACTGGGGGAGGTGATAATGTTGACTGCAGGCAGTTGGCTCGGGGAGGAGCCTTCTTGGGAAACCTACTCAGCCTGGATGGGGAGAAATCTGGGAGAGGCTGTGTGTGAGCAGGCAGTGCAGGGAAGACTTCCTGGAGGAGGGAGCCTGGCTTCCACCGCACAGGCCAAGGCACAGGGGCTGGGACCAGGGAAGGAGGTGTCTGGGCTAGGCCTCTCGCTTTATCTTGAGCTCTGGTTCACTGTGATAGGCTCGTTGCTAACCAGGCCCGGCCCTCCCCAGCTCCAAACCCGACTGCCAGGCAGTGAGGATTCTTCTTCCCACCCAGCCACTCTCAGAGATGCAGACCCAGACCCTGGAGGGTGGGCCCGAAAGCTTCCAGGACCTTCTCTCCAGTGCAGATTCAGGGGGAACTGTCATTTCCCATCACCACGGAAGCCACACTACTTGTCACAAGCCACCAGTCACTACAGTGACACCCAGGCCCACTCTTATTCTTTGGGGTGCCATTTAAATTCGCCCTGGATGCTGTTACCATGGGGTTTTGACAGCCAGGAGCAGAGGCAGTGGGACACAGCAGCCAAGCCTCACCTGGGGGCTGCAGACAGTTGGTGTCCTGTCCATGTAGCTCCTCAAAGCTGTTCCAGGACACCAGGCAGGGGCTGAGGCAATGACCTGCCCAGGGAATACCAAAGAACCATCTCCCTGCAATCACCCCCACCCAGCACAGGGAAAACCTGCAGTGAGGCAGATGGTGGTGAACACAAAGGCCCCTGAGCTGAGGGAGGTTGTTGGGTGGGGGCTTCACACCCTGCCACCCTAGACACAATGGCCAGGGAGGGGTCAGCTGTGGGAGGGTGGTGTCTGCAGTGCCCTCCCTGCCTGCTGCAGGGGGATGCAGGTGGTCCAACACCATCCTGGGCCTGGTCAGCCCTGGTGCCAGCCTCAGCACAGTAGCGAGGAGTCCTCCAAGAGAGCCAGGAACCTCCATGGGAGGTGGGTGGGGGTGAGGACACCCTATGCTGTGCCCACCCCAGCCTCAGAGGGAGCTGCTGGCACTGTCCCCTCTTGAGCAGCAGTGCTTCTCCCAGACTTTAGGGAAGTAGCCACTAAGAAGCCCAAGAAACAATGGCTCCCTCCCTGCAGGCCCCACACTCAGGCTCCCATTATCGCCTAGGCCCAGGTGGTGCTGCCCAGCCCTGTCGGGTCCCCATCAGTCTCAGGACCTCCTTGTCCCACCCTGGAGGGTGTGGCTGATGGAGAGCTGAGTGTGGAGGATGCCAGGGGAGGGGGCCTGGGAGACGTATTTCATCTCTGATGCCGGATGGTGGCACCAGGCTAGGAGGCACCGAGCTAGGTGCCATCCTGATCACAAGGCAGGTTTTAACTCCTTCAGGCCTCATGACCGCCTCACTATCACATGCATTTTACAGCAGGGAAAACTGAGGCTTGACGGTCCCTGTGCCCACTGTGCTCCCACCCCAGGGACAGGTTGATGCAGGGGAGGCTAATGACAGCAGTGATGGAAGTCACTTCCAGCTAGAGAGAGGCCAACGCCCCTGGCCCACAAACTTCATGACTCAGTGCAGAGCCAGCACCTGGGGCTGCTGGGCCAGAACCCTAAGGGCTGTCTCCTCATGCTGAATTCCCTGCTGACCTCCAGATTGTCCAACCCCCACCCCTGAGGCCATCTGGACACTGGCAGCTGCTGCTAACCCACAGGCCCCTCTGTGGAGTCCCCGTTGACCTGGCCTTGAACTCCTACCCATGGTGGAGATCAGGTGCGGCTTGCTCCAGGAAGCCTCTTGGCTCCTGGGGATTGGGAGAGTGGCCGGAGGTGATTCAGACCTCCAAAGTGGGCAGGAAGGTGGATGCCCACACTGGGCTGTTCTCAGGCTCCTCTCCCCACCCTGGGCTTCTAGCACAAGAATAAAGAAGGCTCCAGCAGCTCTCGCCTAGAAGAGACTATGGTACCTCCTGTCCCCGGCAGTTCAGGGAGGGAGCGGTTGCTGGGGGCTGCTGGCCTGTGGCTGTTACTGACCGGGTCAGGGTGGGGATGGGGACGTCCAGGCCCTGCCATCTGAGGGGTGCAGGTGGGATGTGGCCCAGCTGCAGCATAGCCCTCTCCCAACCCCAGCCTGTCCTGACCCTCAGTGAGCCCACATCCTAGAGTCAGAGCTGTGTTCTGTCCTCTGCGGAATCCAGTGGAGCCTGGACACAGCTGCCCCCTCCGTGTTGGGGTCGCCCTCAGCTGTCTCATGTCTGGGTTCCCTCATCTGCCCCCTGTGCAGTGGCTCCTAGAGATCACTCTCACAGGCATCAGATGCATGGCTCAAGGTCGGCACCAGAGCCCCTGGTGCAGTGCCCACTGTCCAGCCCACACGGCCACCCTGGGGGGCTGCAGTGGAGCCTGCGGTAACAGGATCCTCACTCCTTCAGACCCCCACTCCCCTCCCACACAGGCTGGCCACTGGGCTGTGGCTCATGGGCTGCCTGCCTTGTGCTAAAAATGGAACCCCAGACTTTCTGGCTTTAATAATACAATCCTGACCCCCCAGGGCCCTCCCCATTTCGTGGGAGCACCCCAAACATCTTCCATGGGAAAAATAGGACACAGAAACCCAGGCATCCAGGAGCCCAAGGTCTCACACCCAGGGAGCGAAGGGCTTGCCAAGGCTCTTACCCCAGTGCCCATCACCCCTGCCAGCATCCCAGAGTACAGTGGGGGAGATGCCATTGGGTGTCCATTGGGAGCCAGCCCCAGGAGCACAATGTACAGCAGCACTTTCCTGTCGCCATGGCTATGCTGCAGCCATGAGTGACCAGGGCTCTTTCTGTCCAGGAGACACCTGGAGTCCCCGAGCCACAGTGGCTCAGCCACCAGCCACGCCAGCTGCCTGCCCAAATGGATGCTCCCCAGGCCACCCAGACCCGAGGGACTGGAGAGAGCTCTTCTCCTGTCCATTCAACCACCCTTTAGCCTCCCTCCACCCTGCCCTGCACTTGGGGAGTCTCTGTGACCAAACCCCCACACAAGGAACTCACAAGAATGCCCCTCTCTGTTCAGGGGCAGGTCTTCTGGCATCAGGGAGCATTGAAGGAAGCACATGGAGAGGGGGACTGGGGTTCCCCATGACTGTGGCCCAGCAGCCCCCCACACCTTCCCCCACAGGGGATGCTCCCAGACACTTCTGAGCTGCCTTGGGTGCCCATTTCACAGGTAGGGAAACCAAGGCTCAGATCCAGGGAGCTGCAGTATGTGTGCATCCACCTGTCTTTCTCCACAAGCCCCAGGAGCTCAGGGGCAACAATGGGGAGCCCCTGCCCTGCTTGCCCCTACCCTGCCACAGGCCCACAGTCTCCCCTTAGGGATGTGGCTGCCCACCTGCAAAGCTGTGTCCTCATCACCCAGGTCTGAGCCGTGCAGAGCTGGTTCCAATGGCTGCAGGCACCACAGTCGCAGAGCTGGAAGAAACAAGAATCCTCCCCAAGAGTCTGCAGAGGGAGTGCATTTCTGCCCACACCTTGATTTTGGACTTGTGGCCTCCAGAACGGTGAGAGAATAAATTCCTGATGTTGTAAGCCATCACTACAGCAGCTCCTGGACACTAATATTGCTCAGTCCGTCCAGGCTCCTCTCTCTGTTTGTTGTTGTTCTAGGTTTTTCTGAGACAGGGTCTGGCTCTGTCCCTCAGGCTGAAGTACAGTGGCACAATCATAGCTCACTGTAACCTCCATCCTCTAAACTCAAGCCATCCTCTTGCCTCAGCCTCCCCCACAGCTGGGACTACAGGCAGTGTTGCCATGGCTGGCCAACTTTTAAATTAGGTAACCCTTCCCAATAACTTTCACGATTAGTTAACATCTTCTACATTCCTATGTATTTTCCCCTTTTTAATACAAACACATGCCCATTAAATAAGCAAAATAGGAAAAAAAAATTTAATCACCCAAAACCCTACCATCTACTTACCAGAGAGACAATAATGGCACAGGGATATACTGCCAAATTACATTAATTTTGGTAATCCAAAGCAATAGAAAAATCTCCAGTTTTCAATTTATTCTTTTTAGATTTCTAATCAAGAAAACCTATTTTCTACACTAAAGCAAATATATACAAAAGGAAAAGACACACTTATGAAGCAAAGGGATGAACTGGAGTCCTAATGTTATGAGAGGCTGGTAGTCATTCATTTGTCATCACTGAGGTATTTTCAGAAAATATCCATGGTTCCCAGAACTTTAACAAGCACAATAATCCACTCTTAGATACTTGAAAGTCAGATAAGAAGACATCTATCCCTTAACTAGTTGTTATACACTCTATGTAAATAAAACCATATAATTTAAATTTCCTCAATTAATTCTCACAGACAGTACCCAACCTCACATCACCATGATCTCTGACATGTCAATGTTTTATTGTAAATCGTGACAGACTATCTACATATATACTCATGATTTACAATTTGAGATTTTCAACCCAGCCAGTAACCTACGTAGCACTGAATTTAAATACCAGAAAAAGGACCCAGATTCCCTCACCACCTAGCAGAGCTCAAGTGAGTTACACAGCCTGGTAGGGAATGGGGAGTAATTAAAAGGTTGTAAGCAGGTACTACTATAGTCAGATGAGTTTTTGACAGGTTATTCTAAAAGCACTGAGAAAAGAAAACTGTTGTAGTATTCCAGATAAGATTATGTGGTCTGTAAAATGACAGTGTCAAGGATATAGAAAAGAAAAATCAAGGATTTTTCAAAGGGTAAACTGGATGTGATTATATAGTACCACATCAAATGAACATCAGGCTCAAAGAAGGCACGGGGGAGCAGGAGGCTGCTTTCCCCAGGTACTCTCTTTCCCAGGCTTGCCCAGCAGTCCTGGCAACTGACTATATATATATATATATATATATATATATATATATATATATATATGGAAACCATCATTCTGAGCAAACTATCGCAAGGACAGAAAACCAAACACCATATGTTCTCACTCATAGGTGGAAATTGAACAATGAGAACACTCGGACACAGGATGGGGAACATCACACACCGGGGCCTGTCATGGGGTGGGGGGAGGGAGGAGGGATAGCATTAGGAGATATACCTAATGTAAATGATGAGATAATGGGTGCGGCACACCAACATGGCACATGTATACATATGCAACAAACCTGCACATTGTGCACATGTACCCTAGAACTTAAAGTATAATAAAAATAAAAAATAAAAAAGTCTTCCTCAAGTTTATCATCAAAAAGTGCTACACATGATTTACAAGTATTTTCTTCCATCTTGTGAGTTGTCTTTTCACTTTCTTGATGGTGTCCTTTGAAGTGCAAAAATGTTTAATTTTGATGAAGTCTAGTTCATCAATTTTTATTCCTGTTGCTGGTCTCATATTTAAGAAAACTTTGCCAAATTCAAGGTCATGACAATTTACTTCTATGTTTGTTTCTCAGGATTTTATAGTTTTAGTCCTTACATTTATGTGGATTAGCTCAAAATGGATCCATTTGATCCAATTACTTTGCACCCATAGTTTTTGTATATGGTGTTGGGTAAAGGTCCTACTCCAGGTTTTGCATATGTTTACATATCTAGTTGTCCTTGTGCCAGTTCTCAAACTTCTTTCCCCACTGAATAATCTTGGCACTCTTGTCAAAAGCAGTGGTTATATATGTATGGGTTCATATCTGACTCTCAATTCTATCCCACTGGTCTATACATCTATCCTTCTGCCAGTATTATATTGTCCTGATTACCATTGTCTTGTAGTAAGTTTTAAAGTCAGTAAGTATGAGTTCTTCTACTTTGTTTCTCATTTTCAAAAGATTATTTTGGCTATTCTTAGTCCCTTGCAATTCCATATGAATTTCAGAGTCAGCTTGCCGATTTTACAGAGAACTCATCTGGGATTCTGACAGGGATGAAGTTAAATCTGTAGATGAGTTTAGGGAGTACTGCCTTCTTAACAATGTTAAGCCTTAGGTCCATGATCATGGGATACTTTTACATTTATTTAGATCTTCTTTCATTTCTTTCAACAATGTTTTATAGTTTTCAGAGTACAAGTTTTACACTTCTTAAATGTATCAGTATTTTATTCTTGTTGATGCTATGATAAATAAAGTTGCTTTCTTAATTTCATTTTCTGATTGCTCATTGTGAGTATGTAGTATTCAGTTAAAGTGTGTCAAATACTATTGATTTTTGTATATTGATCTTGAATCCTGCAACCCTGATGAACACAAGGGATTTGTGTCTGGCATACATAAGGAACAATTACAATTCTGTAATAAAAAGACAAAACAACCCAATTAGAGATAGATAATTCAAGAATGGATAAACAAACTTCAATACATGCAAACAAATGGAATATTATTCTGCAATTTAAAAAATGAGCTATCAAGCCATGAAAAAACACAGAAGAACCCTAAATGTATACTGCTGGGTGAAAGAAGCCAGTCTGAAAAGGATACATACTACATGATCTATTATATGACATTCTGGGAGAGGCAAAATTAGAGAGTAAAAAGATCAGTAATGACCGGGGGTTTGGGAGGAAGAGGAGGGGGAGGAATGACTCAGTGGAGCACAGGAGATTTTTAGGGCAATGAAACTGTTCTACATAATACTGTAATGGTGGGTACATGACATTATACATTTGTCAAATCCAAACATCTATAAAACACAGAGTGAACCCTGAAGTAAACTATGAACTTCAGATATAAGTATCAGTTCATCAAATCTAATCAATTTAGCACAGTAGCGCAAGGTGTTAAGAGTCAGGAAAACTGGGCGGGGGCACTGTAGGGGAGCATATGTGGACTCTCTGCACTTTTCTCTCTATTTTTTCTAAAACTGCTAAAAAAAAGTCTATTGTTTTTAAAATAAAATGATCCCTAGCAGGAAAAAAATGACAAAAGATCTCAACAAATATTTCCCCAAAGAAGATATACACATGGCCAATAAGCATGAGAAAAGACACTGGACATTACCTTCAATAGGAAAATACAAATCAAAACCACAAGGAGATACAATTTCACATACATTATAATGGCTACAATTAAAAAGTCACACAGTAAGTGTTTGTGAAGATGTGGAGAAACTGAAATTTTAGTACACTGATGGAGGGAAAAAAAAATAATGCAGCCATTTCAAAAAGTAGTTTGGCAGTTCCTCAATTAGACAGTTATCATGCATCCAAGCAATTCTGCTCCTAGATAAACACCGAAGAGAAATGTCTACACAAAAACCTGTACACCAATGTTTATAGCAGCATTATTCATAATAACCAAAAGGGGAAAACAATGTCCTAAATATCTATCAACTGACAAGTGTATAAACAAAATCCAGTGTATCCATGTAACAGAGTATCATGTGGCCATAAAAAGTAAGTACTGATACATGTCACAGCATAGACAAACCTTGCAAGCATTATGCCAAGTGAAAGAATCCAGTAACAAAAGCCCATATGATAGATAATCCCATTTATATGAAACACACGCAATAGGGAATCCAGAGGCAGAAAGATTGGTGATTGCCAGTGCTACAACTGCGGGGGTGCAGATGATGTATGTGGAGAGACAGAATTGAAAGCTAAATGGCACAGGAGGCAGGGTGTTGTGGTCCATGCCTGTACTCCTAGCTACTAGGGAGGCTGAGATGGGAGGATTGCTTGAGCCCAGGAGTTCAAGGCTGCACTAAGCTATGATTACACCACTGTACTGCAGCCTGGGCTGCTCGACTGAGCAAGACCCCATCTCTTAAAATAAATAAATAAATAAATAAATAAATAAATAAATAAATAAATAGAAAGAAAATAAGCTAAAGGGCATAGGATTTTTGTTTGAGGTGGAAAAACAATTCTAAAATTGATTGGAGTGTTGGTTCCCAACATCTGTGAATATACTAAAAACCACTGAACTATATACTTCGAGTGGGTGAATTACATGGCATGTGAACTGCCAATAAAGCTGTTTTAGAAATCCTAATATTTGCTGTGCTATAACTTCAGCAAAGTACCGCAGGGCAATAATTGCAGAGCCAACCCTATCATTACAGTATGACACAGGAAAACTTAAAACTGCACTTACGATCAAGCTATATGCAGAGCATATTAGCACACCAAAAATAAATGACTACACTAAAGACCCATCCTTCAAGGATTACAGAATTTAAGTGCTGAAAAGGAGAGTAAAACCACTCTGTTTTTTTTAAAAAGGTAAGAACTCACAACTTAATTAGTCACTTGTAAAATTCTAGATTGCTAAGAGATTTTCAGATATAATTTAAAAGAAAACACATGACCAAGACAATAATGAAAATCTATACATAAATTTACTATTACCTTTAGCTTCTGAACACACAGCCAAAAATCCATCTTCTGTCACTGCTTTAAACAAAGGTCTGACTCTTTATGTATCTCTGTCCAGGGACACTTTCTTATTGGCAGAATCCAGTAAAACAAATGCAAACACACTATCCAATATACAAATTGTTTGCTCAATTCCTCCTTTGTCATAAAGATGAAGGATTATGTCACCATCCACTTTGGTCTGGTATTCAAATTCAAAACGGTGCTGCACCTTAGGAAGCAATAGCAAACCCAAAACGTTATAGACTCCTTGTGCATCCACTAATAATTTTTTATCACAAAGTTGCTTCAGTATTTCTGGAGCTTTAAAATCATTTCATGCACTTTGGTGATTTAGGAGAATCATAGCATTATCAAACTAGGGTTTGCTTCAACTCATAATTCTGCAAATTCTGTTCAACATAAAGCTGAACCCATGAAAGTTTTAGTTGCAGTCTGATAAACAGAATATAACGGGAATGTACCAGAATAGTAACCTGTAGAGGAATGGAAATTCATATTATATACATACTATGTATGTGATACATAAATATTTTATATATGCAGATTGAGTATCCCTTATCTGAAATGTTTGGAACCAGAAGTGTTTAGGGTTTCGGAATTTTTTTTTGGATTTTATAATATTTGCATCTACGTGAGATATCTTGGGGATGAGACCCAAGTCTAAACGTGAAATTCACTTATGTTTCATATATCTTATACACATAGCCTAAAGGTAATTTTATATAATATTTCAAATAATTTTGTGAATGAAACAAAGTTTGTGTACATGGAACCATCAGAAAGCAAAGGTGTCACTATCTCAGCTTCCATGTGGAAAATCTGTGGCTGTTTGACGTCACTGACCATCATTTCTGACTCTGAATTTATATGCTACTGATGAGCAATCATTTTCACACAATTATTCAAACATAAGTAAAAATATGACATGCCATTAATACAGTAAAAAGTAATAAGCAACACAGTAGCATCACCAGAATACCTGCATCAGCTGTTAAACAGCTGTATAAACAATGGCAAGATTTCAGGCTCCACCTACAAGGCTGCGTTTTGATTAAAAGGTTACTGTATATTGTATTTTTTTTCTTTTTTTAGGTGAGAAGAAATATCAGGAGTTGAGCAACTAGGAGGTGAGTCCTCTGAGGCTGAGGAGGCATTCTGCCAGATGGCTTTTTATAATGTTTCTCCAGAGTCATCTGCCTCATTATCAAGGGCTTTTGTCTTGGAAGTCTCTCTTTAATTTTATAAACTGACATGACCTCTTATTCTGTTATGAATGCAGGTAGCTCTAGTCCTTCAATATCTTCAATATCTCTATCACACATTTTCACCATGTCATCTATACCTTTACACTACAGTCCAATTTCTCCAACAGCTTGACTTTTTGTGTTCTAAGAGTTTCTACTTTTCCTTATCATTGCTGCTCGCAGGGATATCTAGAGGCCTTATTGACATTTTCAGTATGTTAACACCACAGAGCAGAGAATAAGCAAAAATACACAATGGGTAATGCACTTAGGTCCCATCTGTGGGGATCCTGCCATTGGCGTGTCCAGCTTGCACATGTGCCATTCTGTGACCCTTTGTGTGTGTGCTTGCTTGGGGAAATCTGAGCATGTATAGAAAATTTATACTGCAGCTGAAGGGGGATGAGAGGGTCTTTTTTCACAAGAGAACATCAAATAAACTGTGTGTTGTACACCTGCACTTCGACTGGGACATCAAAATCCACATGTGGTGTCATGTCAGTGCTCAAAAAGTTTCAGATTTTGAAGCATTTCAAATTTCAGATTTTCAGATTAGGGATGCTCAACCTCTAAATTTAATTTAAGGTAATATGTTGCTTGGTTGCCATGACACTAAAAAATGTGTCTTCTGCAACTGTCAACTTTTGGTTTGAGAAGACAGTATTGGCTAAGAAGTTCCTCCAGTTCAGCTTCAAAGACCTAGCTATAAAAATGTAAAGCAAAGGGACAAACATCATTTGGCATCATTCCCTGAAAAATAAATGGCTACATCACAATAACAGATACATGATCCAAAACAAAGCTGCTTGTCCTCAGGTGTGGACGACAACACCCAGTGCTCCCACCACTGCAGTAGCATTAAAACTACTCACTGAGAGATAAAATGATGGTGGCACTTTATTAGTCTGCATGCCCCAAAGGAACAGCAAAGGGACTGTCTGCCACTGCATGCAGAGCAAGAAGGTTTGATTAGGCTACTCCCCAATTCTGACACTCTCCACCATCACTGGCAAACTATGAGGATGAAAAGTCCTTGATGTATTTCTCTTTGTATGTCATACTCACATTTTTGTCTGACATTAGAGAAATAAGAGGTTTAAATCAGGTGGGAATCCTATGTTAAGGTTAAAACATGTTTTCAAATCTCAAAAAGTAAACCTATTATGTATGTGCACGACCCATAAATACACTTCACACTCCATCCAGCTCACTGCATAATTTGTGAACCTTTTGTCTGTAAGCCCTCAATGAACTGTCCAAAAATGGGTTTTGCCTCCAGTGACTATAAAGTCACTACCTGGTCACCCCTCTCTGCTCTATCAGGGATGATCTGTAACTAGCAGGTGGGATCTGGAAACAGTCTTCTGCTGACTGTCCTGGGCTGAACTGCCTGAAGGGTAAGTCACTTACCACTTACTTTATGGTCACTTACCATAAAGCATGGAAAACTGTCATTAGCTGAAAAAAATAAACCCAGCACCTAGGACAATAAATACATGCCATACACTCCCAAATAGATGACGAGTCTCCAATTTGTTTTCTGCCTCTTAGGAGCTTATAAAACTAAAGTTCACAATTAATGGGGAAGGGAGGAGACAGATGATCTTCATTGCCTTAGTTATAAACTTGCTTTGGTCTATGGTGATCCTGTGTTAAACTGTGAAATAGAATCTATCATCCTGGCTCTCTGAGGCCCTTGACTTCACCCTTTTAGTGCTTTTCTTACTTATTTTCAAACCTTCACCTCTCTCACATTGAAAAGCCCAACTCTTAATACCCTCTCTAAAAAACTACCCCTTCCCACCAACCACCACCACCGACCTCACTCTATCATCTAAATCTGTTTCAAGATATAAAAATCTTGGTAATTTAGATCTTAACACAAATTGCATACTACCTTTTCAAAAAGCAAGTTAAGCCTGATTCTAATTGTGGGATGAAAAGTTTTTTCCCTATGAAGAAATTTTAAATATCATCAAGCATGTTGAGAGGTGCTAGTGAGGGCATGGAGCAAGGAATCAAATTCCATAGGTGATTGTTTTCTCTATCTTTGTATAAAAATGTCCTTGCCCCAATTAAAGCCTCCACCAAGTATAAAAAGAAAGCGTTTGGTGATATTAGCAAGCAACAGTTTCCCAAATCTACCTTGCCCACCTCTTTGGCCTAAACTCTGCAGGTAATTTATTCAAAAAAGAGAAGTGTCCTTTGAGTAACAAATGTATCACTTCCTACTCTCTTAAACCAAACTCCGATGCTGCATCTTAGATAAAAGCCCTCAAATCTGGCCTCCTGAAGTCATGCTGTCATTTAACTTGGCTGCAGACCCCTGATACTCCCCTGCAGGGAGAGAGTCTGCTCTTTGCCCCAGCCTTTACCCCATTCCTACTTTCTTTCACTCAGCCCCCCTCCACTCCCAGCACACCTCTGGCTGTATTTTATTATTAGTAGTAAGCTTTATTTTTATCAAAAAGGGGGTAGGGGGTATTTTTGACCTTATGTTGCAGAATACTTTATATAAGCCTAAAATATGCATTCTGTTCATTAGATTTCTAGCTGCCCCAACTACATAAGCTGAGATGCTTGGTAGAAGCAATGGAACAAACTTCTCTAGTTTTACAAATATAACTTTTGACTAATTTAGAACAGAAATTAATTAATTTCAAAATATTTAACTTATTTTAGCTTTTTAGAAAAAAAAACACTATCTGAGTAAAACAGAGCACTTCCTATTTCATTTAAGGAGAAAGCCAAGCTGATAATGCCATCATACTACCTAGCTTTCTCATGCATATGACACTGATTTGACTTAGAAAGAAAAAAGTTTTAATACTCTCTTCTACTTCCCACTAGCAGGAAATTCCATTCTTGCCTTTCCTTTTCACCATTTCATCTACAATCACCTAGAAAAATGATGTCTGGTTCATATTAGGCCCTTAATAAAGGAATAAAGAAATGTGGGAAAGGAATTTCTTGAATAACTATTTTAAAACTTTTTGAACAAGAAGACTATTATTAAGAGTGTTCCCATGAGCAGGCAACAAACAATGACAAAAGCTATTATTCAGAGATAAAAATGTCCAAAACATGGTTAGGATATAACTCTCTATCAGTGCCTGACAGGTATCTATCAAGAAGTCTCAGAAAAAATACCAAGAAACATCACAACCAAATGCATGAATATTGAATGAAATCTGGCTCTAAACAAACAAATACCAGCTATAAAGATATTCTTGGTAGCACTTTGAGGGGCCAAGGTGAGTAGATTCCCTGAGCTCAGGAGTTCCAGACCACCCTGGGCCCAGTCTTTACTAAAATACAAAAAATTAGCCAGGCATGGTGACAGGTGGGCCTGTCGTCCCAGCTACTCAGGAGGCTGAAGAAGGAGAATCGCTTGAACCCAGGAGGCAGAGGTTGCAGTGAGCCGAGATCGCAACACTGCACTCCAGCCTGGGTGACAAAGTTGAGACTCTGTCTCAAAAAAAAAAAAAAATTCTCCAGACACTTAGCGAAATTTAAGTATTAACTGGATATTAGGTAGCATTATGATTTTTTTTTCTTTTTTGAGACAGAGTCTTGCTCTGTCTCCCAGGCTGGAGTACAGTGGCTGAAGCTTAACACACTGCAAGCTCCACCTCCCAGGTTCACACCATTCTCCTGCCTCAGCCTCCCGAGTAGCTGGGACTACAGGTGTCCACCACCACGCCTGGCTGATTTTTTTATTTTTGTATTTTTAGTGGAGATGGGGTTTCTCCGTGCTAGCCAGCATGGTTTCAACCTCCTGACCTCGTGATCCACCCACCTCAGCCTCCCAAAGTGCTGGGATTACAGGCTTGAGCCACCGCACCCAGCCAGGTGATATTATGGATTCTTAGGTTTAATAATGATATTGATGTTATGTAGAAAAATGTCCTTATTCTTAGGAGATAAATGCTTATATATTTAGGAGTGTCACAAAATCTGCACCATACTCTCAAATGATTTGGCAAAAAACTGTGTGTGTGTGTGTGTAGAAAGAAAAATCAAGCAAATATGGCAAAACATTAATGATTATTCAATCTAGGTGCTCACTATTCTGTTCTTTTCTGTATGTTAGAATTTTTTTCAAAACAAAAAGCTGGGGAGAAGGAGAAAAAATTCTAAGAGTCAAAGAAACTGTGTAATCCCCATTTTTATCACTTTTTTGTGACCAAGTGATTTAACTCACCATTTTATTCATCAGTTCCCTATCTACATACTTAGAGCAAATGAGATAACATAGAATGCTTTGCAAAGTAAAAAGCAAGATACAGAATATATAATGTCATCGTAACCAACAAGCTCTGAAGTTTAATCACATCCACACATCTGGCTTCTTTTCCCCTACCTTCTTATGGTTGTAGATTTCACCATTGTAACAGAGCCACATATATGGATATGTCTTCACTTAAATTGTCTGCATTCCAAACAGCGGGTCAACTACCACCAATGGGTGAAATCCAAAGCAGCAGCTGGTGTATCCATTAACATTCTCAAAACAGGATGCATCTGGACCCCTGTGTGCAATCTTCATAGCACACAGACACTAAACAGAAAGGCAGTCATTGCTGTCAAACAGGACCCAAATGCCACACACAGTGCAATGAAGCTATAAGCTCCCTATGGAGAGAAAAGTAGACAAATCAAAAATATTCAATATCCAATCCAAGTCCGCGTTAAATCTTGATTCCAGAAACGTGCATAAACCACTTCAAAGACTAAAATTTAAACCATCTTTTCTATAGCGATTTCCCATTTGGTTGGCAGGCATACAGGAGTAAAGAATGATTTAATTTACTTACAAATATTCAGAAAAGATAGTGACCTCTACATTCAACCAGCTACAGCAGCTTAGCACCCAGCCAAAGGCTCCATCTCTCCCACCTTAAGATTTAGTGGTTGGCTAGAGTTAGCAGCATCCAGGCCACATCTATCTCTGCATTCTAAGTTTGCTTCCAAGATAAAGATACAAATGCACGCTGGCTCCAACCTAGCCAGAGATCCCAGCCCCACTCTCTGCATCCCAAAATCCCTCAAAGACCCAAGAGACTTTCCAGATTTCTACAGTCTCCTCACAGGTTCCCTTGACAGTTAAATGCCCTCTCTTTACCTCAACTAGCTGCAGGTAGAATATAATGGGCACAAGAGAAAATCATTGTAAGTGTAATATGAAGATACACAGCCCTTTTAAGCATTTCATTATATTACATCTAGCTTACTTCTAAGGGATTTATTCAGATGTGACTGAAGAAAGTCTAAAGGGAAAAAAGCAATTTAATTTGATAAATTAAATTATCAATTATAGCCAAATTATTTGGCTATAACAAATTAAACATTTTAAGCTGACAGAAGATGCAAACATTTTAAGTTGACAGAAGATATAAAATGTTCACTATCAAAATGTCACAACTGATAAAAATGTTCTCAAATATTTCTGTCTCAAACTTGCATTGTTCATTAAGGAAGCAAAATAGGTGGGACATACACAGCAACAACATACCTCAAAAAACAACTTGGCTCATTCCTATAAGCCAGGCAGCAAATACGTCATCCTTACATATGTTAATTACCTTCCAATTTCAAATTCTCAACTGTGAAATAAAGGGCCATTTTATTTGTCTGCTGCCAGTACAATATGACTGTTTTTATTAAAACATCTCTAACTTGAGAAATATTTGGTGTTTTCTAAAAAACTGCAAATTGCAGCAAATGGCCAGATAATTTGGAATAAACACCCTACAGAAAAAATATATATTCAAGTTGCATAAGTCACTTTGAGCAATCCTTTGTGGATATTTCATTTATATCTAAATGAACCACAGGTTTAGCTGGCTTTTCTGGAAAACCAGAAGCAAATAATGTATGATTATAATGAAAACCATCTCAAGCAATTTGGAAATGAAGTACCACATGTCCTATGCTGTCCCTTCCATACACTTGACAAAACAGCCTATAACAAATTGTTTACTTTGAGATTTAGTAGGAAAATTCCATGAGATTTAAATGAGATGACTACTAATAAGCCGTCTACATTTGACTCTATTCCAATTAAAAATGGGTTAGGAAAGTGCTTTGAATATCAAGTGTGTTCATCAGGGAATCATTTACCTAAGTCTTCTTAACACTGTTTAGTGAATATTAAGCCTGATGTAGTAAATACACGCTAACCACTAAATTGAAGGGGAAAGAGGGAGAACAAAGAGGCATGTAAAGTACACTTACTTCTTCTAGTAGGAAAAAGCCAATTAAAACTATCACCTATTAGTTTTATTGGAATCAGTCTTACAGGAGGTCAAACTTCCTACTGTCGCTACCTATTCTCAATATTTTTCTTATTTCTTCCTAAACTTCTAGAGCTGTGCTGTCCAATAAATATGTGAGCCACGTATGTAATTTTAAATGTACTAGTAAGCCCCATTAAAAGAAAAGGTGAAATTAATTTTAAATATACCTAACTCAGTATGTCCCAAATAGTAATCATAGTAATAATTTTAACATGTAATAAATATAAAAAAAGTCAAGCAGATATTCTGCACTGTTCTTCCCACTCCAACGACAAAATCCAGTGTATTTAACACAACACATCTCAATTAGGACTAGCCAGGATTCCAAGTGCTCAACAGTTACAGGTGGCTAGCACCTACTGAATTGGACACTGCAGTTTCAGTGCATTGAATTTCTATCCCACTTAGCGCTAATTAAAACTTCACCCTCTCACCTGACAATGATGCTAAGATCTCAGTAAGTAACCAACTACAGGCAGTTTCCAGCCCTACTTTACCTCTAATTACTCTTACAGCAATGCAATGAATCATGATTTAAAATTAAAAAAAAAAACTGCTGTTAAATTATTAGTCAAGCGCCCAGGGCAATGGACAGTAAAGAAATAATGTAGGCCATGGGCCGAGATGACAAAACGGTCCTTTTATTTAAAGCTATAATAATCTGAAGCCAGCCCTGTAAAATAGACATCCATTGAAAAAGGCATGCTAGTTCTTTTGCTTTTTTGTGTACTTGGCCTCCTGTGTCCCTAAACAGATCTCTTAGCAGAGTTTGCTCAGCAAGTCACTTGTTGAGTCTTGCAGTCTACAGAGGGGGTGGGGAATGGCAGGAGCTGGCATAGGAGTGAGAGGGGAAGAGGCAAGGTGAGGGAGGCCAGGTGAGGAGGGTGGCACTTGAAGGGGAGTTCAAGACTTGCCTGGGCAACATGGTGAGACCACTGCCCCTCACCGCCGCCATCTCTGTTCTCACTCTGGTCTCACACACATGCACAAATTAAATTTAATTTAAAAATTAAAAAGTTGTTTTAAAATAAGTGAAGGATTTACATGGATTATGTATACATTCATTTTGTAGAACTATAGATCCCATGTAACTGGGAACTCTTTACTCTTCTAACACAACATTTATTTAGCCACAAATAAAAGAAGACCAGTGATGTAGCCTGTACACAAAAAAGTAAGAAAACACTGGTTAGGCTGGGGCAGGGGTGGGGGGAAGAGATCTACAAAATTAAAATTTTATTGGGAAGGATCATTAATTAGAATCAGAACAATTACTGCTTTAAAGTAGTTAAGAACAGAGCACAAGGAACCCAGAGAAGAAGCAGATATGATTCAGAGCAGAGCTCACAGAGCAGATGGTATCTGAGCTGAGACTGATAGAATAACATTAATAAGGGCATTCACAGACATTTATTATCACTTAACTGCAATGTATTTTGTATAAGTTATTTCTACTCTTCATATCAACCATGGAAAATAATACTTATTCTTTTCTTTTGAAGTTAAGGAAGTGGTAAGTGGTCTAAGAAGATAAATTAACATACTAACACCAAATAGCTCAAGTTCAGTGACTCAAGAGTGCCCGCGTCACTCCAAGAGGTTGCTCAGCAGGCAGACGAGGTAGAGAGCCCTTCCAAGAAGTGACAGTGAGATGTGAAAGGTCTCAGTGTGTCTCTGAGAACAACAGAAACCAGTAAGTAGACCAAGTGGGAAAAGCCATGGAAGAGGCAGGGATTTCCTCTTAAGATAGCAAGAATAAACAGAGCAGGGCTGAGGGAAGCCATGGAAAATGGGCAGAATACCATGCATTCAGTGAGAAAAAAACAACTTTTACTTTAGAAAGGGGGAAAGAATGGTGGTGGTCTAGGTAAGCCTAGAAGCAGAGGAAAGGGCAGTGGAGGAAAAATATACAAAATGTATTAGTCAGGGTTCTCCAGAGGGACAGAACCAACAAGATACACGTATATGTATAAAGGAGTTTACCAGAGAGAATTGGTTCACACGGTTAGAAGGCAGTCCCACAACAGGCTGTCTGCCAGGTAGGGAAAGAGAGAAGCTAGTAGTGGCTCAGTCCAAGTCCAAAAGCCTCAAAACCAGGAAAGCCCGCAGTGCAGTCTTCAGTCTGAGGCCGGGGGCCTGAGAGCCTCGGGGAAGCCACTGGTGCAAGTCCCAGAGTCCAAACGCATAAGAACCTGGAGTCTCATGTCCAAGGGCAGGAAGAAGGGAAGCAAGTTTCCTGCACGGGAAGAAGAAAAAAAGAGAGCCAGAAGCTTCAGCTAGCAAGGTTATCCCACCTTCCTCCGCCTGCTTTGTTCTATACAGTGCAGCGTGTGTACACCACTTCTGTGGTATTGTTTCTAATATCCATGGGAAGAAAGGGTGATGTTACTCCCAATAGCGCATGGGGGTGTACATCCCCTGTGATATTATTCCTAGTATGCAGGGGCAGGGAAAGGATGACATTACTCCCAATATCGCAGAGGGTGTTCTCCCCGCCTTGTGATATTGTTCCTAATATTTAGGGGATAGTGGGTGATATTACTCCCAATATCACAGGGGGTGTGCACCCCCCGTGGTATTCTTCCTAATATCCGGGAGGGGGAGAGGTTGATATTACTGTCAATGACACAGGGGGTGTACATCCTCCCATGGTATTGTTCCTAATATATGGGGGGGGGAGATGATATTACTGTCAATAACACAGGGGGTGTAGACCCCTTCGGTGATATTGTTACTAATATCTGGGGGAGAGAGGATGATATTACTGTCAATATCACAGGGGGTGTACACCCCCCCGTGGTATTGTTCCTTATATCCCCAGGGGGGGAGAGGAAATTGTCAATATCACAGTGGGTGTACACCTCTTCTGTGATATTGTTCCTAATATCCGGGGGGGGAGAGGATATTACTGTCAATATCGCAGGGAGTGTACAACCCTTCTGTGATATTGCTCCTAATATCCAGGTAGGGAGAGGATCATATCACTTTCAATATCACCAAGTGTGTACATCCCCCTTGTGATATTTTTCCTATGTTTAGGGGATAGTGGATTATATTACTGTCAATATCACAGGGGCTGTGCACCCCCCCATGGTATTGTTCCTAATGTCCAGCAAGGGATAAAACACTACTACTCCCAATATGGCAGGGGGTGTACAAGTCCTATGCGATGCTGTTCCTATATCCATGGGGGAAAATGATATTGGGAACAATATTACAAACAATATCACAGGGGGGTGTACGTGTCCTGCGATATGAGGAGTAATATAACCCTCTCCCCATCTGGATATTACAAACTGTATCACAGAGGGGTGTAAACCCCCTGCGATGTGGAAAGTAGTATCATCCTCTCCCCCACTGGATATTACAAACAATATCACAGACGGTGTACACATGAGGTGTTTATGATATTGGGAGTAATATCATATCCCCCAGTGGATATTATGAACAATATCACAGAGGGGTGTATACACACTCTGCCTCATAGGGAGTAATATACTCCTCTCTCACCCTGGATATTACATCGCAGGGAGGTGTACATCCCCTGTGATACAAGGAGTAATATCATCCTTTCCCAGCCTTGATATTACAAACAATATGGCAGGGGGCAGTACCCCCTGGCGATATGGGTAGTAACATCATCTCCTCCCCGTGTGGATATTACAAACAATATTCTAGGGGGTTGTACACCCCCTGCAATATGGGGAGTAACATCATCTTCTCACCGAC
This sequence comes from Homo sapiens, assembly GCF_000001405.40. Classification (NCBI taxonomy): domain Eukaryota; kingdom Metazoa; phylum Chordata; class Mammalia; order Primates; family Hominidae; genus Homo; species Homo sapiens. The sequence continues at coordinate 101,354 of NT_187499.1, forward strand.
TAGATATTATAAACAATATCGCAAGGGGGGTGTACACTTCCTGCAATAAAAGGAGAAATATCATTCTCTCCCCCCAGAGTATTATGAACAATATTGCAGGGAATTGTTCTCCCATGCTATATGGGGAGTAACATCTTCATCTTCCCCCTGGATATTACGAAAAATAATGCAGGGGAATGTAAATCCCCTGCGATATGGGGAGTAAAATCATTCTCTCTGGCCAGGTGCGGTGGCTCACACCTGTAATCCCAGCACTTTGGGAAGCCGAGGCTGGTGGATCACGAGGTCAGGAGACCGAGACCATCCTGGCTAACATGGTGAAACCCCGTCTCTACTAAAAATACAAAAAATTAGCCGGGTGTTGTGGCGGGCGCCTGTAGTCCCAGCTACTAGGGAGGCTGAGGCAGGAGAATGGTGTGAACCTGGGAGGCGGAGCTTGCAGTGAGGCAAGATCAGGCCACTGCACTCCAGCCTGGGTGACAGAGCGAGGCTCTGTCTCAAAAAAAAAAATCAAATCATTCTCTCCCTCCCTGGATATTATGGACAATATCACAGGGGGGTGTACAACGAGTTTCTAGAATATATTTGAGGAGGGTGAAGGGCGGTGTGTGCGTGCTTCATGGCCTCATTCAATTAAACACTCTGCTCTCAATTTATTGCTAAATCCTCCTTGAGCCCTTAGATTTCATAACGGTTGTCGCGAGATTTTTCTGGATGTAGAAAACGTACCCATTTCTTGCCACCTCATGGGCTACACCTTGACCTAACGTTTTTATGTAGATACTTCTGCTTACTCTGTGGCCTTTCCAGGGTTTGCTGAAGATGGAGGTATATAGGCTGGGCAAGAGGTGGTGAGGTAAATTGGGGTTTATCGATTATAGAACAGGCTCCTTTAGAGGGATATAAAGCACTGCCAAGTCCTTTGAGTTTTAAGCTGTTGCTTGTAGTGTTCTGGCGAACAGTTTTGTTGATCTAACTATTCGAGTTTAGGGTTAAGCATAGCGGGGTATCTACTCCCAGTTTGGATCTTAGCTATTTTGTCTTCAGAATATTAAAGGCACCTTCGTAGTTATTTCAGCTGGGGTTTTTTTACAACTTTTTTACAACTTACTTAGAAACTTTCAGGTTTCTAAATATACGAATGAACCATAATATAAGCCTTGGCCAATACAACGCCAGTTAGGCCTCTTACTGTAAAAAGGAAAATAAATCCCCGGGCTCACAGCATTGCGGGGGATCATTTGATATTACCGCCGTGAAGTTTAACTAGCTAGTCAGCTAAAAACTTTGACGCTAGTAGGAATAGCAATAATTATAATAGCAGAGGTGAAGCAGGCTCATGTATCCACATCTATCCCTACCGTAAATATACGGTGGGCCCATACAATAAACTGTAAGAACCCAACTGATCCTATAGCTCACACTAGGCCCATATACCTGAACGGTCCTTTTTTTCCAGAATAGTATGTTACGACGTGGGAAATTATCCCAAAGCCCAGTGGGATGAGGATGTAGACTTCAGGGTGACCAAAGAATCTGAATAAATGCTGATATAAGATAGGATCACCTCCACCAGCCACGTAGAAAAAAGTAGTATTAAGATTGCGGTCAGTTAACAATATAGTGATGCTGGCGGCTAGGACTCGGAGACAAAGGAGTAGAAGAACTGCTGTAATTAGGACTAATCAGATGAAGAGGGGTGTGTGATATTGGGACATGGCTGGGGGTTTTATATTAACAATTGTGGTAATAAAGTTAATAGCCCCTGAAGCAGAAGAAACACCTGCCAAGTGGAGTGAAAAGATAGTGAAATCTACAGAGGCGCCTGCATGTGTTAGGTTTCCTGCTAAGGGAGGAGAGACTGTTCAGCCGGTTCCAGTGCCAGCTTCTACTATAGTGGATGCAAGTAATAATAGGAAGGAGGGTGGGAGGAGTAAGAAGCTCATATTATTTATGCAGAGAAATGCTATAGCGGGGGCGCCAATTATCAGAGGGACTAATCAGTTGCCAAGACCTCCAATTATAGTATTACTATAAAGAAAATTATGACAAATGCATAGGCTATAACAATGACATAAATTTGATCATCTAGTAGAGTTCAGCTCGAATAAGGCTTAAAGCTGTACTGACTATCCCTGCTCATGTGCCAAATAATAAATATAATGTCCCGATATCTTTATGGTTGGTTGAGAATAGTCAACTGTCAGCCAACATAAATGAAGTGAGAAAAAAGGGTAAAATGACTGAGTAGGGCATTAGACTGTACATCTAAAAACAGAGGTCAAGGCCTGTTTTTACGAGTCCCGAGGTGATTTTCATGTTAAATTGTAAATTCAAAGAAGCAGCTTCAATCCTGCTTCTCTCACCTTTTTTCCCCCAGCGGCTGGAGAAGAAGATTCAAACCAGTTGACTAGGGAGTTTAGCTGTTAAGTTTTCGTGGGTTTAAGTCTCATCAATTTAGTAAGGACTTAGCTTAAAGTGATAGATCTGTATTCAATTGACCAAGGGTGATCTGTATCTGAGAAAGTACATTTCAGGGCTACCATACAACAACTGTTCAAAAAGGCCTCCAATATGGGATAGTACTATTTATTATCTCAGAAATTTTTCTCTTCGCTGGATTCTTTTGAGCATTCTACCATTCTAGCCTAGTCCCTACTCCAGAATTAGGAGGACATTGACCCCCAACAGGTATTTCTCCCCTTGACCCCCTGGAAGTACCTCTCCTGAATCCATCTGTATTACTTGCTTCAGGAGTTTCAATTACTTGAGCCCATCACAGCCTAAAAAAGATAATCAAAAACATACAATCCAAACACTACTTATTACAATTATATTAGGTATTTACTTCACCCTCCTACAAGTCTTAGAATACTTCAAAACTCCCTTTGCTATTTCTGATGGTATTTATGGCTCAATATTTTTTTATAGCTACAGGCTTTCACAGACTTCACGTCATTATTGGGTCAACATTCCTCAGTCTGCCTTCTCCGCCAATTAAATTACCACTTTACATCTAGTCATCAGTTTGCCTTTGAAGCCGCTGCCTGATATCGACACTTTGTAGATGTAGTATGACTATTCTTATATGTTTCTATTTATTGATGAGGATCTTACTCTTTTAGTATAAATAGTACTATGATTTCCAAAGTTTCGATAGCATCCGAAAAACAGTAATTCACCTAACATTAACCCTAGTAATCAACACACTATTAGCCCTGTTACTAATAATTATTACATTTTGGCTACCACAACTTAGTATATATATAGAGAGACAGAGAAAAATATATATATATGTATAAAATAAATATATATAGAAAAATCTAGCCCTTATGAATGCAGATTTGACCCTCTATCCTCTGCCTACATTCCCTTCTCCATAAAATTCTTTCTAGTAGCCACCACATTTCCCCTATTTGAGTTAGAACTTGCCCTACTACTACACTTACTGTGAGCCCTTCAAACAATCTGATACTAATAATCCCTGTGATATGTGTAGTGACTTCACACTTCACCACCCCCCGGATATTATGGCCAATATCAGAGTGGAGTGTGCACCCCCTGCAATATGGGGAGTGACATCCTCCTCTCCCCACTGGATGTTATGGACAATATCACAGGGGGTTTACTCTCTCTGCGATATGGGGAATAATATCCTCTTGTCCCCGCCTGGATGTTAGACATATTTACAGGGGGGTGTCCACCCCCTGCGATACAGGGAGTAGTAATATCCTCTCCTGCCCTGGATGTTATGGACAATATATAGGGAGATGCACAATCCCTTCACTTGCCCAAGTGTTCTGTCCTGTCCTCTGAATCCGCTTCCAAGTCGCAAGACGCTGTGAGCTCCAAGTCCACGCAGAGTCCTCCAAAAGCTCCGGCCGCTGCTCCGCTCTGCGAAGATCTGAGTACAGGCCAGCCAGGGTGGGTTTAAATAGCCTCGGGCGCAGCCTCGCAGCGGAAAGGGCGGAGCTTCACTCCTCCTTTCCATCAGTCACCCCCAACGTTCCCAGGCTACACCTCGTAGGAAACTGTTCTCCTGATTTGATTTCATGCGCCACCTTTGGGACAATCTAAGAACTTACAAGTTTTCTTGGCCAGATATATTAGGAGTTGTATGCACTGAAACACTGAAAACCAACTAGTGGTTCTGTGGTTCCCACGTTGTGGTTTTGACACCAGCAGCATCCTTGCCACAATCAAACCCCGGAGATCCGCAGATCTGTGTTGTAACAAGACCTCCCCCTGACCCTGATGCATGGCAGTTGAAGAAGTCTTTCCGTGTAAGCGAAAAGACTTTGAAGAAAAGGTGGAGATATGCGTTGTATAAACATTCTTTTGCTCTGGAACCCCGTAGAGACTTGGGAGCCAGTTGGGTGGAGCATTCGTTGGATGAGGGTGCTCGGGTTAGGAATATCAAGGTGTGGCTCCAGATAATTCCGTCATCTAGTTAAGATTCCAGATATGCTAATCTGTTTTAAAATTCCGTTTGTGTAAATTCTTTTACTCAGACTGAGAATGGCAAAGCCTCAACCCCAATTTCCAGGGAGGGTTGAGAGCCTCAGGTTGAGTTGATCACCAATAGCCTATGGTTTAACCCATCATGCCTATAGAATGAGGTCTCCATAAAAACCCAAAAGGACTGGGTTTAGAGAGCTTCTGGATAACACTTCCTGGAAGGCAGTGCGCCCCTCCCCACATGCCGGGCCCAAAAGTTTTCTGAAGTTTTTGCAATATCTGCTAAAATACAGAAAATGGGAAATGTCAGTGTTTCCCTGCGTGCTGTGAGCTCTTCCAGCAAATGAATGCAACTAAAACTGGGAGTGGTGGAAACTTGATTTATAGCCAGTTGCTGAGAAGCACAGGTAAAGCAACGTAGGGCTTCCCATTGTTATTAGTGTGGGAGGCCAGTCTTGCGGGACTCGGCCCTTTGGAATCTAATGCTATGTCCCGGTAGATAGCGTCACCGTTGAACTCGAAGCCACACGTATGTTGAGAACGATTTTTCTGGTCCTCCGCTGCATGTCTTATTTACAATACGTCATCAAATTCTTTATGCTGACCTTATGGCACCTGGGTTGAGAACCATGATTTGAACCAAACATTGGTCTGTCACTTTCTCAGTTTGAAACTCTGTTTCGCCGTTAGCGTTTTGCTATCGCTTTCTCGTTTTCTTTGCTTTCGTTTCGTTTCTAAGTTCTGGGATATATGGGCAGGCTGTGCAGATTGGTTACTAAGGTAAACGTGTGCCATGGTGGTTTGCTGCACCTGTCAACCCATCACCTAGGTATTAAGCCCAGCATGCAGTAGCTGTTTTTCTTAACGCTCTGCCTCCCGAAAGGCCCCAGTGTGTGTTGTTCCCCTTCCTGTGTCCACGTGATCCCATTTTTCAGCTCCCATTATAAGTGAGAATGTGGCGCTTGGTTTTCTGTTCCTGGATTAGTTTGCTGAGGATAATGACTTCACATCACCAGTGTCTTTGTTTTTTATTATAAAGAGTAGTATTTTATTGAATAAGATTTACTTCCAGAAAAATAAGCTTTAATCTACAACGAATGCCAGACTCTACAGCACAAAGCAATTTTCTCAGTTTTCCACACACAAAGGTTCCTACTAAGTGAAAAAAGCCACAGAATCTCATACACTGTCTCAAAACATCTCACATAATCATCACTGTACTAATACCATTAGATCAGCTCTTCCGTCAGGTTAAAGTATCCCTCTAATAACTGATTTTTATAATGTTATCCACATCCACGCCCAATCAGTCTGCCATTGTTAATGGTGTACAGCATTATTGAATACAATGGAATTGATGGAGCCCATATCCAGCGACAAATCGTGACTTAAGTTGGTTTGATTTATGATTTTTCAACGTTATGATGGGTCTATTGGAATATTAGATGCGTTTCTGAGTTACACTGGGTTTATGAGTATGCGACCCTATACTCCAGAAACAGGTGTATAAAGAAAAACAGGTGTACCTAATTAAAATATACTTAGTGACCTGGGATAAACCAATAGATGCTTACAACTGATGGAGAACCATGAAAGAGAGATACCGGTAAATAATTACAATAACACAATTTTCCAGCACCTGTCGAGGATTCCCCAAAAAGACGCAGGACGTAGGATGCACCTAAGGCATATGAAAGAGAGAGGGCAGAAGGAATAAGAGAGAAATGGGAGGAAGGGAGGAAGGAAGGGAAGAAGGAAGGAAGGAAGGAAGGAAGGAAGGAAGGAAGGAAGGAAGGAAGGAAAGACGGAAGGAAGGAGAAAACACCCGGTGTTACTGAAACCACAAAATGCGGTTTCCCCCTTTGGGTATGGCTGCAATGTGGATGAATCTTGAAACTACTGTGCTAAAAGTGTTATGTCAGTCACAAAAGCTCACGTATTGTGCAATTCCGTTTATAGGAAATGTCCACAATATGGAAATCTATGCATATGGGGTTGATCCCTCTATGCAGTTGTTACCTAGGGCTGAGGGTCAGGGAGAGGGTTTGAGACAGAATGAGGAGTGACTAATGTCCACAGGGTGTTTCTCTGGTCGGGGGTGATAAAACCTTCTAAAATGGATCGCGAATTAAAATTGAATGTGCACAACCACAGGTATACTAAAATCCACTCAATTCATGACTTTTAATGGGGCAATTTTATGTGGCACACTCTTATGGAGACCACGGCAGACATAGTGAGAGAGAAAAAGGTGAGTAAATCTCTGAAACGGAGGCAGAAACAGAGAGAATGAGAAGCCCTGTGAATGGAAGGGAGAGAGAAAAGGGAAAATGGTCCTATTTACAAATGACAGCTGTGAAACTGGGGTTCAAATCAGCAGTGTCACTGCCAGGAAGGAGGGTGATGCTAGCCATGTCACCGGTAGCGTGGCCCGCAGGGACGCCGACATGCTGGAGCGTCGTGCCAGCATGGGCTGTGGCAGCCACGTGGGCCAGCAGGAGGGTCCCGCTGCACAGCTGTGGGGTGAGGATAGACTGGGCGGTGATATCGGCCATTACAGGGGCCTCTTCTGCTGGCAAGAGTGTGACAGTAGCAAGTGGAAGGACAGGCCTGTGTGTGAGGACGGAATGCAGGAGGGGCTCTTCTGTGGCTGGGTGTGGGGCCCTCCCCAGAAATGTGGAGACATGGCCAGGTAGCTGCATCATGTTGGCTAGTAGATGGGCCAGGGCTTCGAGCTGAAGGACAATAACGGGGAGTAGCTGTCAGGCCCTGGGAGTGTCTGAGTGTAAGTGGAGATGGGTTTGGGGTCACTGAGGGAAGCATGGGAGCCATCCCTCTATAGATACAAGTCATTGGGAAATAGTCTCGTGAGGCCTGTGAGTGTCCAGGATTCCCCTGGGTGCCTGGGGCTGACTGTGGCAGAAATCTGGGGAAGGCTGGAGAGAAGCTGGGAGGCACAGGAGAGTCCCTGAAAGCAGGGGGTGAAGAGGTGAAAGAAATGGGGGAGGGTTGCAGTAAGGTCCCTGAGTTTGTAGGTGATTCCTGGGTGTGGGAATCTGACCCCAGGTGTGATGTGGAGATGGTTGGAGAGTAGCTGAGAGAGACAGAAGAGTCCCTGAGGGCTGGGGGTGAGAACATGAGAGAGACTGGGGAGTAATTCAGTGAAATTCGTGATTTTGGTGGTGTGTCGTGGGTGCCTGGAACTGAGTCCAGCTGGAATCTAGAGAAGTTTCGAGAGTAGCTGAAAGAGACACAAGAGTCCCTGTGGGCTGAGGGCAAAGACCTGAGAGAGACCAGGGAGGACCTCCGTGAAGTCTGTGAGTCTGTAGGTGATTCCGGAGTGTGGGAGGCTGACTCCCTCTGAAACCTGGGCGTGGTGGGAGAGTAGCTGGGACAGACAGGAGAGTCCCAGGGGGCTGGGGGTGAAGACATGAGAGAGACTGGGGAGTAACTCAGTGAAACTGCTGAGTTTGTAGGTAATTCCTGGGTGCCTGCAAGTGACTCCAGCTGAAATGTGGGCGTGGTTGGAGAGTAGCTGGGACACACAGGAGAGTCCCTGAGGGCTGGCGGTGAAGACATGAGAGAGACCGGGGAGTAACTCAGTGAAACTGGTGAGTTTGGTGGGGACGCCGGGGTGCCTGGAACTGACTCCAGCTGAAATCTGGGGGTGGTTGGAGAGTAGCTGGGACAGACAGGAGGGTCCCTGAGGGCTGGTGAAGACATGAGAGAGACTAGAGAGTAATTGAGTGAAATTGGTGAGTTTGGAGGTGATTCTGGGGTGCAAGGAACTGCTTCCAGCTGAAATCTGGGCGTGGTTGGAGAGTAGCTGGGACAGATGGGAGAGTCCCTGAGGACTGGTGAAGACATGAGAGAGACTGGAGAGTAATTGAGTGAAATTGGTGAGTTTGGTGGTGACTCAGGGGTGCCTGGAACTGACTCCAGCTGAAATGTGGGCGTGGTTGGAGAGTAGCTGGGACACACAGGAGAGTCCCTGAGGGCTGGCGGTGAAGACATGAGAGAGACCGGGGAGTAACTCAGTGAAACTGGTGAGTTTGGTGGTGAATCCGGGGTGCCTGGAAATGACTCCAGCTGAAATCTGGGGGCGGTTGGAGAGTAGCTGGGACAGACAGGAGGGTCCCTGAGGGCTGGTGAAGACATGAGAGAGACTAGAGAGTAATTGAGTGAAATTAGTGAGTTTGGTGGTGATTCTGGGGTGCAAGGAACTGCTTCCAGCTGAAATATGGGCGTGGTTGGAGAGTAGCTGGGACAGACAGTAGAGTCCCTGAGGGCTGGTGAAGACATGAGAGAGACTGGAGAGTAATTGAGTGAAATTGGTGAGTTTGGTGGTGACTCCAGGGTGCCTGGAACTGACTCCAGCTGAAATGTGGGCGTGGTTGGAGAGTAGCTGGGACACACAGGAGAGTCCCTGATGGCTGGTGAAGACATGAGAGAGACTGGAGAGTAATTGAGTGAAATTGGTGAGTTTGGTGTTGATTCCGGGGAGCAAGGAACTGCTTCCAGCTGAAATGTGGGCGTTGTTGGAGAGTAGCTGGGACAGACGGGAGAGTCCCTGAGGGCTGGTGAAGACATGAGAGAGACTGGAGAGTAATTGAGTGAAATTGGTGAGTTTGGTGGTGATTCCTGGGTGCAAGGAACTTCTTCCAGCTGAAATCTGGGGGTGGTTGGAGAGTAGCTGGGACAGATGGGAGAGTCCCTGAGGGCTGGTGAAGACATGAGAGAGACTGGAGAGTAATTGAGTGAAATTGGTGAGTTTGGTGGTGATTTCTGGGTGCCTGCAACGGACTCCCGCTGAAACGTGGGCGTGGTTGGAGAGTAGCTGGGACAGACAGGAGAGTTCCTGAGGGTTGGAGATAAAGACGTGCTTGAGACTGGGGAGTAACACAGTGAAAGTGGTGGGCTTGGTGGTGATCCCTGGGTCCCTGGATCTGACCCGCGCTGAAATGTGGGCGTGGTTGGAGAGTAGCTGGGAGAGACTGGAGGGTCCGTAAGGCCTGGGGGTGAAGACGTGAGAGAGACTGGCGAGGATCTCACTGAGGTCTGTGAGTTTGTAGGTGTTTCTGGGGTGTGGGATACCGACGCCCGCTGAAATCTGGGCGTAGTTGGAGAGTAGCTGGGACAGACAGGAGAGTCATTGGTGGCTGGGGGTGAGCTGCTGGATGATGGCAGTAAGAACATATGGTATATTATTGATGACTGGGGTGACTGTGAGGAATCTCCAGAGGAGGACACGGGAGAACACAATGACATGAGTGATTGTCCTGCTTGGTTAGGAAAGGGAAATGTAAAGTTGTGGAATTCTGCCGATGACGGATGTGAGAGTGGTGAAACCCTGCGGGATGATGTAGAGTACTTCCACATCCCTTGTGAGGAGCTGCCCCTTGGGTCTGAGTTCCTGGGAGGGGAGAGGTAGATGCTGGGTGAGGCAGGCATGAATCTTGAGGAGTCAGGGCTGGGGGACCGCTCATATTCTCCCGAGACCTGTGAGTCTCTGGGGGACTCCTGAGTGCATGGGGCTGACTCCCGCAGGAACCTGGGGATGGCTGGAGAGTAACTGGGAGCCACAGGAGAGTCCCTGAGGCCTGGGGGTGAAGAGATGAAAGACATAGGGGAGGAGCACCGTGAGGCTCGTGAGTTTGCAGGTGATTCCTGGGTGTGGGGGGCTGACTCCAGCTGAAATCTGGGGTTGTTTGGAGAGTAGCTGGGAGACCCAGGAGACTCCCCGAGAGCTGGGGGTGAGCTGCTGGGTGATGGCAGTAGGAACATGTGGTATATTACTGATGAACGTGGTGACTCTGAAGAATCCTCAGAGGAGGACACGGGAGAGCCCAATGGCTTCATGGATTGCCCATCACGGAGAGGACAGGGAAATGGGAGATTGTGGGATACTGGTGATGACAGAGGTGAGTGTGGTGAAGCCCTAGGGGATGGTGAATGGTAGCTCCGGATCCCTGGTGAGGAGCTTCCTCTTAAGTCTGAGTTTCTGAGAGGGGAGAGGGAGAAGCTGGGTGAGGCTAGCATGGATCTTGGGGAGTCCGGGCTGGGGGACCGTTCATAAGAAGAGCCAGACAAGACCCTAGTGTTCTTAGGTGCAGACATGATTAGGAAACCTGCAGCTCCCAGAGACCCCTACTAATTTCCAAACCCGCAGAATGAATTAGTGTGTGTGTGTGTTTGTGTGTGTGCATGCGTGCGTGCGTGTGTGTGTGTTTGTGTGTGTGTGGTGTGAGGTATGTGCTCCTTAAGAAAATGGAAATAAACCAACCAATGAGACAGACAGACAGACAGAGATTCACTTGCCCAAGTGTTCTGTCCTGTCCTCTGAATCCGCTTCCAAGTCGCAAGACGCTGTGAGCTCCAAGTCCACGCAGAGTCCTCCAAACGCTCCGGCCGCTGCTCCGCTCTGCGAAGATCTGAGTACAGGCCAGCCAGGGTGGGTTTAAATAGCCTCGGGCGCAGCCTCGCAGCGGGAAGGGCGGAGCTTCACTCCTCCTTTCCATCAGTCACCCCCAACCTTCCCAGGCTACACCTCGTAGGAAACTGTTCTCCTGATTTGATTTCATGCGCCACCTTTGGGACAATCTAAGAACTTACAAGTTTTCTTGGCCAGATATATTAGGAATTGTATGCACTGAAACACTGAAAACCAACTAGTGGTTCTGTGGTTCCCACGTTGTGGTTTTGACACCAGCAGCATCCTTGCCACAATCAAACCCCGGAGATCCGCAGATCTGTGTTGTAACAAGACCTCCCCCTGACCCTGATGCATGGCAGTTGAAGAAGTCTTTTCGTGTAAGCGAAAAGACTTTGAAGAAAAGGTGGAGATATGCGTTGTATAAACATTCTTTTGCTCTGGAACCCCGTAGAGACTTGGGAGCCAGTTGGGTGGAGCATTCGTTGGATGAGGGTGCTCGGGTTAGGAATATCAAGGTGTGGCTCCAGATAATTCCGTCATCTAGTTAAGTTTCCAGATATGCTAATCTGTTTTAAAATTCCGTTTGTGTAAATTCTTTTACTCAGACTGAGAATGGCAAAGCCTCAACCCCAATTTCCAGGGAGGGTTGAGAGCCTCAGGTTGAGTTGATCACCAATAGCCTATGGTTTAACCCATCATGCCTATAGAATGAGGTCTCCATAAAAACCCAAAAGGACTGGGTTTAGAGAGCTTCTGGATAACACTTCCTGGAAGGCAGTGCGCCCCTCCCCACATGCCGGGCCCAAAAGTTTTTTCTGAAGTTTTTGCAATATCTGCTAAAATACAGAAAATGGGAAATGTCAGTGTTTCCCTGCGTGCTGTGAGCTCTTCCAGCAAATGAATGCAACTAAAACTGGGAGTGGTGGAAACTTGATTTATAGCCAGTTGCTGAGAAGCACAGGTAAAGCAACGTAGGGCTTCCCATTGTTATTAGTGTGGGAGGCCAGTCTTGCGGGACTCGGCCCTTTGGAATCTAATGCTATGTCCCGGTAGATAGCGTCACCATTGAACTCGAAGCCACACGTATGTTGAGAACGATTTTTCTGGTCCTCCGCTGCATGTCTTATTTACAATACATCATCAAATTCTTTATCCTGACCTTATGGCACCTGGGTTGAGAACCATGATTTGAACCAAACATTGGTCTGTCACTTTCTGAGTTTGAAACTCTGTTTCGCCGTTAGCGTTTTGCTATCGCTTTCTCGTTTTCTTTGCTTTCGTTTCGTTTCTAAGTTCTGGGATATATGGGCAGGCTGTGCAGATTGGTTACTAAGGTAAACGTGTGCCATGGTGGTTTGCTGCACCTGTCAACCCATCACCTAGGTATTAAGCCCAGCATGCAGTAGCTGTTTTTCTTAACGCTCTGCCTCCCGAAAGGCCCCAGTGTGTGTTGTTCCCCTTCCTGTGTCCACGTGATCCCATTTTTCAGCTCCCATTATAAGTGAGAATGTGGCGCTTGGTTTTCTGTTCCTGGATTAGTTTGCTGAGGATAATGACTTCACATCACCAGTGTCTTTGTTTTTTATTATAAAGAGTAGTATTTTATTGAATAAGATTTACTTCCAGAAAAATAAGCTTTAATCTACAACGAATGCCAGACTCTACAGCACAAAGCAATTTTCTCAGTTTTCCACACACAAAGGTTCCTACTAAGTGAAAAAAGCCACAGAATCTCATACACTGTCTCAAAACATCTCACATAATCATCAATGTACTAATACCATTAGATCAGCTCTTCCGTCAGGTTAAAGTATCCCTCTAATAACTGATTTTTATAATGTTATCCACATCCACGCCCAATCAGTCTGCCATTGTTAATGGTGTACAGCATTATTGAATACAATGGAATTGATGGAGTCCATATCCAGCGACAAATCGTGACTTAAGTTGGTTTGATTTATGATTTTTCAACGTTATGATGGGTCTATTGGAATATTAGATGCGTTTCTGAGTTACACTGGGTTTATGAGTATGCGACCCTATACTCCAGAAACAGGTGTATAAAGAAAAACAGGTGTACCTAATTAAAATATACTTAGTGACCTGGGATAAACCAATAGATGCTTACAACTGATGGAGAACCATGAAAGAGAGATACCGGTAAATAATTACAATAACACAATTTTCCAGCACCTGTCGAGGATTCCCCAAAAAGATGCAGGACGTAGGATGCACCTAAGGCATATGAAAGAGAGAGGGCAGAAGGAATAAGAGAGAAATGGGAGGAAGGGAGGAAGGAAGGGAAGAAGGAAGGAAGGAAGGAAGGAAGGAAGGAAGGAAGGAAGGAAGGAAGGAAAGACGGAAGGAAGGAGAAAACACCCGGTGTTACTGAAACCACAAAATGCGGTTTCCCCCTTTGGGTATGGCTGCAATGTGGATGAATCTTGAAACTACTGTGCTAAAAGTGTTATGTCAGTCACAAAAGCTCACGTATTGTGCAATTCCGTTTATAGGAAATGTCCACAATATGGAAATCTATGCATATGGGGTTGATCCCTCTATGCAGTTGTTACCTAGGGCTGAGGGTCAGGGAGAGGGTTTGAGACAGAATGAGGAGTGACTAATGTCCACAGGGTGTTTCTCTGGTCGGGGGTGATAAAACCTTCTAAAATGGATCGCGAATTAAAATTGAATGTGCACAACCACAGGTATACTAAAATCCACTCAATTCATGACTTTTAATGGGGCAATTTTATGTGGCACACTCTTATGGAGACCACGGCAGACATAGTGAGAGAGAAAAAGGTGAGTAAATCTCTGAAACGGAGGCAGAAACAGAGAGAATGAGAAGCCCTGTGAATGGAAGGGAGAGAGAAAAGGGAAAATGGTCCTATTTACAAATGACAGCTGTGAAACTGGGGTTGGAGAGTAGCTGGGACAGACAGGAGAGTCATGGGTGGCTGGGGGTGAGCTGCTGGATGATGGCAGTAAGAACATATGGTATATTATTGATGAATGAGGTGACTGTGAAGAATCTCCAGAGGAGGTCACGGGAGAACACAATGACATGAGTGACTGTCCTGCTTGGTTAGGAAAGGGAAACGTAAAGTTGTGGAATTCTGTTGATGACGGATGTGAGAGTGCTGAAGCCCTGCGGGATGATGTAGAGGACTTCCACATCCCTGGTGAGGAGCTGCCCCTTGGGTCTGAGTTTCTGGGAGGGGAGAGGGAGAAGCTGGGTGAGGCAGGCATGAATCTTGAGGAGTCAGGGCTGGGGGACCGCTCACTTTCTCCCGAGACCTGTGAGTCTCTGGGGGACTCCTGGGTGCATGGGGCTGACTCCCGCAGGAACCTGGGGATGGCTGGAGAGTAACTGGGAGCCACAGGAGAGTCCCTGAGGCCTGGGGGTGAAGAGATGAAAGACACGGGGGTGGAGCACCGTGAGGCTCGTGAGTTTGTAGGTGATTCCTGGGTGTGGGGGGCTGACTCCAGCTGAAATCTGGCGTTGTTTGGAGAGTAGCTGGGAGACACAGGAGACCCCCCGAGAGCTGGGGGTGAGCTGCTGGGTGATGGCAGTAAGAACATGTGGTATATTATTGATGAACGTGGGGACTCTGAGGAATCCTCAGAGGAGGACACGGGAGAGCCCAATGGCTTCATTGATTGCCCATCACGGTGAGGACAGGGAAATGGGAGCTTGTGGGATTCTGGTGATGACAGAGGTGAGTGTGGTGAAGCCCTAGGGGATGGTGAATGGTAGCTCCGGATCCCTGGTGAGGAGCTTCCCCTTAAGCCTGAGTTTCTGAGAGGGGAGAGGGAGAAGCTGGGTGAGGCTCGCATGGACCTTGGCGAGTTCGGGCTGGGGGACCGTTCATAAGAAGAGCCACACAAGACCCTACTGTTCTTAGGTGCAGACATGATTAGGAAACCTGCAGCTCCCAGGGGCCCCTACTAATGTTCTAAATCGCAGAAGGAAGGAGTGTGTGTGCGTGTGTGTGCGTGTGTGTGTGTGTGTGCGTGTGTGTGTTTGTGTGTGTGCGGTGTGAGGTATGTGCCCCTTAAGAAAATGGAAATCAACCAACCAATGAGACAGACAGACAGACAGACAGACAGACAGACAGACAGAGATTCACTTGCCCAAGTGTTCTGTCCTGTCCTCTGAATCCGCTTCCAAGTCGCAAGACGCTGTGAGCTCCAAGTCCACGCAGAGTCCGCCAAACGCTCCGGCCGCTGATCCGCTCCGCGAAGATCTGAGTACAGGCCAGCCAGGGTGGGTTTAAATAGCCTCGGGCGCAGCCTAGCAGCGGAAAGGGCGGAGCTTCACTCCTCCTTTCCATCAGTCACCCCCAACTTTCCCAGGCTACACCTCGTAGGAAACTGTTCTCCTGCTTTGATTTCATGCGCCACCTTTGGGACAATCTAAGAACTTACAAGTTTTCTTGGCCAGAAATATTAGGAATTGTATGCACTGAAACACTGAAAACCCACTAGTGGTTCTGTGGTTCCCACGTTGTGGTTTTGACACCAGCAGCATCCTTGCCACAGTCAAACGCCGGAGATCCGCAGATCTGTGTTGTAACAAGACCTCCCCCTGACCCTGATGCATGGCAGTTGAAGAAGTCTTTCCGTGTAAGCGAAAAGACTTTGAAGAAAAGGTGGAGATATGCGTTGTATCAACATCCTTTTG
Source organism: Homo sapiens (assembly GCF_000001405.40). Taxonomy (NCBI): domain Eukaryota; kingdom Metazoa; phylum Chordata; class Mammalia; order Primates; family Hominidae; genus Homo; species Homo sapiens. Next base: position 116,932 of record NT_187499.1, read on the forward strand.
CTCTGGAACCACGTAGAGACTTGGGAGCCAGTTGGGTGGAGCATTCGTTGGATGAGGGTGCTCGGGTTAGGAATATCAAGGTGTGGCTCCAGATAATCCAATCATCTAATTAAGATTCCAGTTATGCTCATCTGTTTTAAAATTCCGTTTGGGTAAATTCTTTTAGTCAGACTGAGAATGGCAAAGCCTCAACCCCAATTTCCAGGGAGGGTGGAGAGCCCCAGGTGGTTTTGATCACCAATAGCCTATGGTTTAACCCATCATGCCTATAGAATGAGGTCTCCATCATAACCCAAAAGGACTGGGTTCAGAGAGCTTCTGGATAACACTTCCTGGAAGGTAGTGCGCCCCTCCCCACATGCCGGGCCCCACATTTATTTCTGAACTTTGTGCAATGTCCGCTAAAATACAATGGCAAATGTAAGTGTTTCCCTGCGTGCTGTGAGCTCTTCCAGCAAATGAATGCAACTAAATCTGGGAGTGGTGGCAACCTGATTTATAGCCAGTGGCTGAGAAGCACAGGTAAAGCAACGTAGGGCTTCCCATTGTTATTAGTGTGGGAGGCCTGTCTGGCGGGACTCGGCCCTTTGGAATCTAATGCTATGTCCCGGTAGATAGCGTCACCATTGAATTAGAAGACACACATATGTTGAGAATAATCATTCTGGTCATTTGCTGCATGTCTTATCGACAATATGTAATCACATCCTTTATCCTGACCTTATGGCACCTGGGTTGAGAACCATGATTTGAACCAGACGTTGGTCTGTCACTTTCTCAGTTTGAAACTTTATTTTGCCTTTAGCGTTTTGCTATTGCTTTTTCGTTGTCTTTTGTTTCGTTTCGTTCCTAAGTTCTGGGGTATATGTGCAGGATGTGCAGATTTGTTACTAAGGTAAACGTGTGCCATGGTGGTTTGCTGCACCTGTCAACCCATCACCTAGGTATTAGGCCCAGCATGCAGTAGCTGTTTTTCTTAACGCTCTGTCTCCCGGAAGGCCCCAGTGTGTGTTGTTCCCCTTCCTGTGTCCATGGGATCTCATTTTTCAGCTCCCATTATAAGTGAGTTGTGGCGTTTGGTTTTCTTTTCCCTGGATAAGTTTGCTGAGGGTAATGACCACACATCACCACTGTTTTTGTTTTTTAGTATAAAGAGTAGTATTTTATTGAATAAGATTTGCTCACAGAAAAATAAGCTTACATCTACAATGAATGCCAGACCCTACAGCAGAAAGCCATTTTCTCACTTTTCCACACACAATGGTTCCTACTAAGTGAAAAAAAAGCCATAAAATTTCATTCACAAATGTACTACTCTGTCTCAAAACATCGCACATAATCATGCACTGTACTAAAGCCATTAGATCAGTTCTTCAGTCAGGTTAAAGAAGTATCCCTCTAATAACTGACTTTTATAATGCTATCAATATCCACTCCCAATCAGTCTGCCATTGTTAATGGTGTACAGCATTACTGAATACAATGGAATTGATGACGCCCATATCCACGGACAAACCGTGACTTATGATGGTTTGATTTACGATTTTTCAACGTTATGATGGGTTTACTGGAATATTAGATGCGTTTCTGAGTTACACTGGGTTTATGAGTATGCGACCCTATACTCCAGAAACAGCTGTATAAGGAAAAACAGGTTTACCTAATGAAAATATGCTTAGTGACTTGGGATAAACCAATAGATGTTCACAACTGATGGAGAGCCGTGAAAGAGAGATAACGGTAAATAGTTACAATAACACAATTTTCCTGCACCTGTCGAGGATTTCCCCAAAGAAACGCAGAATGTGGGATGCACCTAAGGCATAGGAAAGAGAGAGGGCAGAAGGAGTAAGAGAGAAATAGGAGGAAGGAGGGAAGGAAAGAAGGAAGTCAGGAAGGAAGGAAGGAAGGAAGGAAGGAAAGAAGGACGTAAGGAAGGAGAAAACACCGGTGTTACTAAAAGCCCCCAAAAAAATGGTTTCCCCCTGTGGGTAAGCCTACAATGTGGACGAATCTTGAAAATATTGTGCTACGTGTTATGTCAGTCATAACAGCTCACCTATTGTGCAATTCCGCTTATAGGAAATGTCCACAATATGGTAATCTATGCATATGGGATTGATCGCACTAGGTAGTTGCTACCTAGGGCTGAGGGTCAGGGAGAGGGTTTGAGACAGAATGAGGAGTGACTAATGTCTACAGGGTTTTTCTCTGGCCGGGAGTGATAAGACGTTCTACAATGAATTGCGAATTAAATTTGAATGTGCACAACCACAGGTATACTAAAAGCCACTCAATTCACGACTTTTAATTGGGGAATCTTATGTGGCGCACTCTCATAGAGCCCATGGCAGACAAAGTGAGAGAGAAAAAGGTGAGTAAATATCTGAAACGGAGGCAGTAACAGAGAGAATGAAAAGCCCTGTGAATGGAAGGGAGAGCGAAAAGGGAAAATGGTCCTATTTACAAACGACAGATGTGAAATTGGGGTTCACATCAACAGTGTCACTGCCAGGAAGGAGGGTCACGCTAGACACGTCACCGGTAGTTTGGCCCGCAGGAACGCCGACCTGCTGGAGCGTCGTGCCAGCATGGGCTGTGGCAGCCACGTGGGCCAGCAGGGGGTTCCCGCTGCACAGCTGTGGGGTGAGGATAGACTGGGTGGTGATATCGGCCATTACAGGGGCCTCTTCTGCTGGCAAGAGTGTGACAGTAGCAAGTAGATGGACAGGCCTGCGTGTGAGGACGGAATGCAGGAGGGGCTCTTGTGCGGCTGGGTGTGGGGCCCTCCCGGGAACCGTGGAGAAATGGCCAGGTAACTGCGTCATGTGGGCTAATAGATTGGCCAGGGCTTCGAACTGAAGGACAATAACGGGGAGTAGCTGTCAGGCCCTGGGAGTGCCTGAGTGTAAGTGGAGATGGGTTTGGGGTCACTGAGGGATGCGTGGGAGCCATCCCTGTATAGGTACAGGTCATAGGGAGATAGTCTGGTGAGGCCTGTGAGTGTCTAGGGTTGTCCTGGGTGCCTGGGGCTGACTGTGGCAGAAATCTGGGGAAGGCTGGAGAGAAGCTGGGAGACCCAGGAGAGTCCCTGAAGGCAGGGGGTGAAGAGTTGAAAGAAATGGGGGATGGTTGCAGTAAGGTCCGTGAGTTTGCAGGTGATTCCAGGGTGTGGGAAGCTGACTCCAGGTGAAATCTGGAGATGGTTGGAGAGTAGCTGAGAGAGACAGAAGAGTCCCTGAGGGCTGGGGGTGAGAACATGAGGGAGACTGGGGAGTAAGTCAGTGAAATTCGTGAGTTCGGTGGTGTATCGTGGGTGCCTGGAACTGACTCCAGCTGGAATCTAGAGAAGTTTTGAGAGTAGCTGAAAGAGACACAAGAGTCCCTGTGGGATGAGGGCAAAGACCTGAGAGAGACCAGGGAGGAGCTCAGTGAAGTCTGTGAGTCTGTATCTGATTCTGGAGTGTGGGAGGCTGACTCCCGCTGAAATCTGGGCGTGGTGGGAGAGTAGCTGGGACAGACAGGAGAGTCCCAGGGGTCTGGGGGTGAAGACATGAGAGAGACTGGGGAGTAACTCAGTGAAACTGCTGAGTTTGGTGGTGATACATGGGTGCCTGGAACAGACTCCCGCTGAAATCTGGGCATGGTTGGAGAGTAGCTGGGACACACAGGAGAGTCCCTGAGGGCTGGGGGTGAAGACATGAGAGAGACCGGGGAGTAACTGAGTGAAACTGGTGAGTTTGGTGGTGACTCCGGGGTGCCTGGAACTGACTCCAGCTGAAATGTGGGCGTGGTTGGAGAGTAACTGGGACAGACAGGAGAGTCCCTGAGGGCTGGTGAAGACACGAGAGAGACTGGAGAGTAATTGAGTGAAATTGGTGAGTTTGGTGGTGATTCCTGGGTGCCTGGAACTGACTCCCGCTGAAGTGTGGGCGTGGTTGGAGAGTAGCTGGGACACACAGGAGAGTCCCTGAGGGTTGGAGATAAAGACGTGCTAGAGACTGAGGAGTAACTGAGTGAAATTGGTGAGTTTGGTGGTGATTCCGGGGTGCCTGGAACTGACTCCAGCTGAAATGTGGGCGTGGTTGGAGAGTAGCTGGGACAGACGGGAGAGTCCCTGAGGGATGGTGAAGACATGAGAGAGACTGGGGAGTAACGCAGTGAAATTGGTGAGTTTGGTGGTGACTTCTGGGTGCCTGCAACGGACTCCCGCTGAAGTGTGGGCGTGTTTGGAGAGTGGCTGGGACAGACAGGCGAGTCCCTGAGGGTTGGAGATAAAGACGTGCTAGAGACTGGGGAGTAACTCAGTGAAAGCGGTGGGCTTGGTGGTGATCCCTTCGATCCTGGAACTGACCCGCGCTGAAATGTGGGCGTGGTTGGAGAGTAGCTGGGACAGACTGGAGGGTCCGTAAGGGCTGGGGGTGAAGACGTGAGAGAGACTGGCGAGGATCTCACTGAGGTCTGTGAGTTTGTAGGTGTTTCTGGGGTGTGGGGTACAGACTCCCGCTGAAATCTGGGCGTAGTTGGAGAGTAGCTGGGACAGACAGGAGAGTCATGGGTGGCTGGGGGTGAGCTGCTGGATGATGGCAGTAAGAACATATGGTATATTATTGATGAATGAGGTGACTGTGAAGAATCTCCAGAGGAGGTCACGGGAGAACACAATGACATGAGTGACTGTCCTGCTTGGTTAGGAAAGGGAAACGTAAAGTTGTGGAATTCTGTTGATGACGGATGTGAGAGTGCTGAAGCCCTGCGGGATGATGTAGAGGACTTCCACATCCCTGGTGAGGAGCTGCCCCTTGGGTCTGAGTTTCTGGGAGGGGAGAGGGAGAAGCTGGGTGAGGCAGGCATGAATCTTGAGGAGTCAGGGCTGGGGGACCGCTCACTTTCTCCCGAGACCTGTGAGTCTCTGGGGGACTCCTGGGTGCATGGGGCTGACTCCCGCAGGAACCTGGGGATGGCTGGAGAGTAACTGGGAGCCACAGGAGAGTCCCTGAGGCCTGGGGGTGAAGAGATGAAAGACACGGGGGTGGAGCACCGTGAGGCTCGTGAGTTTGTAGGTGATTCCTGGGTGTGGGGGGCTGACTCCAGCTGAAATCTGGCGTTGTTTGGAGAGTAGCTGGGAGACACAGGAGACCCCCCGAGAGCTGGGGGTGAGCTGCTGGGTGATGGCAGTAAGAACATGTGGTATATTATTGATGAACGTGGGGACTCTGAGGAATCCTCAGAGGAGGACACGGGAGAGCCCAATGGCTTCATTGATTGCCCATCACGGTGAGGACAGGGAAATGGGAGCTTGTGGGATTCTGGTGATGACAGAGGTGAGTGTGGTGAAGCCCTAGGGGATGGTGAATGGTAGCTCCGGATCCCTGGTGAGGAGCTTCCCCTTAAGCCTGAGTTTCTGAGAGGGGAGAGGGAGAAGCTGGGTGAGGCTCGCATGGACCTTGGCGAGTTCGGGCTGGGGGACCGTTCATAAGAAGAGCCACACAAGACCCTACTGTTCTTAGGTGCAGACATGATTAGGAAACCTGCAGCTCCCAGGGGCCCCTACTAATGTACTAACTCGCAGAAGGAAGGAGTGTGTGTGCGTGTGTGTGCGTGTGTGTGTGTGTGCGCGTGTGTGTGTTTGTGTGTGTGCGGTGTGAGGTATGTGCCCCTTAAGAAAATGGAAATCAACCAACCAATGAGACAGACAGACAGACAGACAGACAGACAGAGATTCACTTGCCCAAGTGTTCTGTCCTGTCCTCTGAATCCGCTTCCAAGTCGCAAGACGCTGTGAGCTCCAAGTCCACGCAGAGTCCGCCAAACGCTCCGGCCGCTGATCCGCTCCGCGAAGATCTGAGTACAGGCCAGCCAGGGTGGGTTTAAATAGCCTCGGGCGCAGCCTAGCAGCGGAAAGGGCGGAGCTTCACTCCTCCTTTCCATCAGTCACCCCCAACTTTCCCAGGCTACACCTCGTAGGAAACTGTTCTCCTGCTTTGATTTCATGCGCCACCTTTGGGACAATCTAAGAACTTACAAGTTTTCTTGGCCAGAAATATTAGGAATTGTATGCACTGAAACACTGAAAACCCACTAGTGGTTCTGTGGTTCCCACGTTGTGGTTTTGACACCAGCAGCATCCTTGCCACAGTCAAACGCCGGAGATCCGCAGATCTGTGTTGTAACAAGACCTCCCCCTGACCCTGATGCATGGCAGTTGAAGAAGTCTTTCCGTGTAAGCGAAAAGACTTTGAAGAAAAGGTGGAGATATGCGTTGTATCAACATCCTTTTGCTCTGGGACCACGTAGAGACTTGGGAGCCAGTTGGGTGGAGCATTCGTTGGATGAGGGTGCTCGGGTTAGGAATATCAAGGTGTGGCTCCAGATAATCCAATCATCTAATTAAGATTCCAGTTATGCTCATCTGTTTTAAAATTCCGTTTGGGTAAATTCTTTTAGTCAGACTGAGAATGGCAAAGCCTCAACCCCAATTTCCAGGGAGGGTGGAGAGCCCCAGGTGGTTTTGATCACCAATAGCCTATGGTTTAACCCATCATGCCTATAGAATGAGGTCTCCATCATAACCCAAAAGGACTGGGTTCAGAGAGCTTCTGGATAACACTTCCTGGAAGGTAGTGCGCCCCTCCCCACATGCCGGGCCCCACATTTATTTCTGAACTTTGTGCAATGTCCGCTAAAATACAATGGCAAATGTAAGTGTTTCCCTGCGTGCTGTGAGCTCTTCCAGCAAATGAATGCAACTAAATCTGGGAGTGGTGGCAACCTGATTTATAGCCAGTGGCTGAGAAGCACAGGTAAAGCAACGTAGGGCTTCCCATTGTTATTAGTGTGGGAGGCCTGTCTGGCGGGACTCGGCCCTTTGGAATCTAATGCTATGTCCCGGTAGTTAGCGTCACCATTGTATTAGAAGACACACATATGTTGAGAATAATCATTCTGGTCATTTGCTGCATGTCTTATCGACAATATGTAATCACATCCTTTATCCTGACCTTATGGCACCTGGGTTGAGAACCATGATTTGAACCAGACGTTGGTCTGTCACTTTCTCAGTTTGAAACTTTATTTTGCCTTTAGCGTTTTGCTATTGCTTTTTCGTTGTCTTTTGTTTCGTTTCGTTCCTAAGTTCTGGGGTATATGTGCAGGATGTGCAGATTTGTTACTAAGGTAAACGTGTGCCATGGTGGTTTGCTGCACCTGTCAACCCATCACCTAGGTATTAGGCCCAGCATGCAGTAGCTGTTTTTCTTAACGCTCTGTCTCCCGGAAGGCCCCAGTGTGTGTTGTTCCCCTTCCTGTGTCCATGGGATCTCATTTTTCAGCTCCCATTATAAGTGAGTTGTGGCGTTTGGTTTTCTTTTCCCTGGATAAGTTTGCTGAGGGTAATGACCACACATCACCACTGTTTTTGTTTTTTAGTATAAAGAGTAGTATTTTATTGAATAAGATTTGCTCACAGAAAAATAAGCTTACATCTACAATGAATGCCAGACCCTACAGCAGAAAGCCATTTTCTCACTTTTCCACACACAATGGTTCCTACTAAGTGAAAAAAAAGCCATAAAATTTCATTCACAAATGTACTACTCTGTCTCAAAACATCGCACATAATCATGCACTGTACTAAAGCCATTAGATCAGTTCTTCAGTCAGGTTAAAGAAGTATCCCTCTAATAACTGACTTTTATAATGCTATCAATATCCACTCCCAATCAGTCTGCCATTGTTAATGGTGTACAGCATTACTGAATACAATGGAATTGATGACGCCCATATCCACGGACAAACCGTGACTTATGATGGTTTGATTTACGATTTTTCAACGTTATGATGGGTTTACTGGAATATTAGATGCGTTTCTGAGTTACACTGGGTTTATGAGTATGCGACCCTATACTCCAGAAACAGCTGTATAAGGAAAAACAGGTTTACCTAATGAAAATATGCTTAGTGACTTGGGATAAACCAATAGATGTTCACAACTGATGGAGAGCCGTGAAAGAGAGATAACGGTAAATAGTTACAATAACACAATTTTCCTGCACCTGTCGAGGATTTCCCCAAAAAAACGCAGAATGTGGGATGCACCTAAGGCATAGGAAAGAGAGAGGGCAGAAGGAGTAAGAGAGAAATAGGAGGAAGGAGGGAAGGAAAGAAGGAAGTCAGGAAGGAAGGAAGGAAGGAAGGAAGGAAGGAAGGAAGGAAGGAAAGAAGGACGTAAGGAAGGAGAAAACACCGGTGTTACTAAAAGCCCCCAAAAAAATGGTTTCCCCCTGTGGGTAAGCCTACAATGTGGACGAATCTTGAAAATATTGTGCTACGTGTTATGTCAGTCATAACAGCTCCCCTATTGTGCAATTCCGCTTATAGGAAATGTCCACAATATGGTAATCTATGCATATGGGATTGATCGCACTAGGTAGTTGCTACCTAGGGCTGAGGGTCAGGGAGAGGGTTTGAGACAGAATGAGGAGTGACTAATGTCTACAGGGTTTTTCTCTGGTCGGGAGTGACTATAGTCAAAGCAATTTAATTGTACATTTTTAAGTAACTAAAAGAATGTTATTAGATTGTTCGTAAAATAAAGAACAAATAGTTGAGGCAATGAATAACCATTTATCTGATGTTATTTTTGTGCATTTCATGCCTTCATCAAAATCAGTGATATAATCCATAGATACATATATGTACTACGTACTCACAAAAATTAAAATAATAAATAAAATATAAATTTAAAATGAAAAGCGTAAAAACAAACACCACTGGTCCTCGTTTCTTCATAGATATATGAACTTAACACCACGCTGATCACATTGCCTTTGTGAGAATTCCTGAACATAGTTAAGAATTTGTACTACTTCAGTTGAGCACAATGCCAAAAACATGTAGAAGAGAAGAAAAAGCTTATTAGATATGCCCAGCGCAGCCTGACCTCCTCCCAATACAGCATGGTGCAATCCAGGAGAAACTCCCAACTCTATGCTTCTTCCTCAGGAGACAAAGAGAAATGTGGAATATATGTCCACATTCCTGTCTTTTGAGGGACTGTCCGAAGAGGAATTTTGTCTCCCCTGACGTGCCTCCTCTGACGTAGAGTGCTGAAGGGAATGGTGGTATACTTCGTATGACAGCTATGCATATTTCGCATTAACATAAGACGCAATCCTGACGTGGTGCAGTGGCTCACACCTGTAATCCCAGCACTTCGGGAGGCCGAAATGGGCGGATCACGAGGTCAGGAGATCGAGACCATCCTGGCTAACTCAGTGAAACCCCGTCTCTACTAAAATACAAAAAATTAGCCGGGCGTGGTGGCGGGCACCTGTAGTCCCAGCTACTAGGGAGGCTGAGGCAGGACAATGGTGTGAACATGGGAGGCGGAACTTGCAATGAAACGAGATGGCGCCACTGCACTCCACTCCGCCTCAAAAAAAAAAAAAGAAGCAATCCTAAAATCATATCAGAACTGAAGAGACCAGAAGTGCTGAACAACTGTCAAAAAGAGAAACAACATCATAAGCACCATACCTCCTGATTTTAAACACCTATTATAAAGTTATAGTAATTGAAATACTTTATAACTCAATTTTAAAATACCAGTGAAACAGAATAAAGAACACAAATAGTCCCTTGCATATATTATCAAATGAAGAGTAATTTACACATCCATATTCACGGTAGCATTATCTACAAAAGCAAGTAAGTGAAAAGAACTTTTCTTAATAAATAAATGAATAAAGACAATTTCAAATATATAAATAATTAAATATTACTCAGCTTCTTAAAAGCAGAAAATTTTGTTAAATCCACAATAAGGATACATTTTTAAGGCTTTATTTATGTGGAAGAAGCCCAGGAACAAAAGGACAGAAACGATATAATTCCACTTATGTAAGATACCTAAAGTAGTTAAACTCATAGAAACAGAAAGAAGACTAAACTGTGTCGGGGTTAAGTGGAGAAGAAAATGAGTAACTGTTGTTTCATGGACAACCTGTTAGAATGCAAAACAACCCCCCCACCCTTTTTTTTTAAACTTTAAGATCAGAGTATATGTGCAGGTTTCTTATACTGGCAAACTTCTGTCATGGAGGTTTGTTGTACAGATTATTTGGTCATCAAAGTATTGAGCGTAGTTCTCATCATACAACACTGAATTATACAACACATCCTTTCATACCACCTGTAATAAAACTGGAAATCAAAAGCAGAAGCAAAATTGCCAAATCCAAAAACCTGTGAAACTCAACACACTCTTGAACATATTCTTATCTGTGTCAGTTGATTTGATATTGTTAAATGACCATACTACACAGTGATATTCAAATTCAACGTAAGCCTAATGAAAATAAAAATAATACTTTGTGAAAAAGTATTTTTTACAATTCTTAACTTTTACATGGAATTTCAAAGGACCACTGATAGCCCAAACATTCTTAGAAAACAAGAACAAAGTTACATGCACAACGTTTCCTGTTTTTAGAACAGATAACAAAGCTAAATAAAAACAGTGTGGTACTTGCCAGAAGACAAATAGATGATGGAACAGAACACAGAACTCAAAAACCAACCACTGTGTATATGTTCAAATGATCTTCAACAATGTTGCTATAACCACACAATAAGAGAAAGACAGTCTCTTCAATAGATGGTGTTGGAAAACTCTATATCCATATGAAAAAACTGAGGTTGGATCCTTCCCCTGAACCATATACAAAAACTGTCTTGAATGAGTTAAATATTTAAATGTAAGAATTATAATTATACAATCTTTAGAAGAAAATATAGGAAGATTATGACATTGATCCCAGCAATGTTTTCTTGCATGTAACATCAAACACATGAGCAAAAAATTCAAAAGCACAGAAAAGTAAGACTACATTAAATTTATCTCTCCACATTAAAGTTTTAGTAAGAGTCCCACCTAAGCAGCAGAAAAGCCAAAATATACATATATTTGACAGAAGATAACATCCAGAACAACTCCAAAAAAAAAACAAAAATTTACATGACTAATAGACAAGAGATGAAAATGTTTCTCCAAAGATGAAATACACAATTATTGAAAAAAAAATTCTAATCTTTAGAAAAATGTAAAGAAAAACCACAATGAGGTATTACTGTGTATTAAGATGGCCAATATCAAGCAAACAAAAAATAATATATATTGTCAACAATGTAGAGAAATTGAAACCCTTGTACACTGTTGGTGGGAAAAACGTGATGCAGCCACCTGAAAAATGTATGGAGGTTCCTCCAAAAATTAAAAATAAAGTTACTGTATGACCCAGTAATTCCACTTCTGAGCATCTATTTAAAGTATGCAATGTATACCTGAAAGAAGTATTTGCACATCCATATTCACTGTATTAGTTTATTCTTGCAGTGCTATAAGAAAATTCCTGAGACTTGGTAATTTATTTTAAAAAGAGGTTTAATTGGCTTATGGTTCTGCAGGCTGTACGGCAAGCATAGCAGCTTCTGCTTTAGGGGAGGCCTTGAAAAGCTTCCAGTCATGGCAGAAAGAAAAGGGACAGAGAGTCATCTCACATGGTGGGAGCAGGAACAAGAGAGCACGAGAGGGAAGGTGCCACATGCTTTTGAAAAATGAGATCTCAGAAGAAGTCACTCACTATGGCAAAGACAGTACCAAAGGGGCTGCTGCTAAACCATTCGTGAGAAGCCAACCCTACGATCCCATCACCTCCCACCAGGCCCACCTCCAACACTAGGGACTGCAACTTGACATGAGATTTGAATGGGGACCCAGATCCAAACTATATCACTTACAAAAGCCAAAAAGTGAAAAAACTCAAACACCCTTCAATAGATGAATGATTTAAAAAGATGTGGCTTATACATACAATGAAATATTCTTTAGCATCAAATGAAAATATCTTGTCAGATGCTACAATAAGGATAAATCTTAAAGCCATTATTTTAAGTGAGATAAGACACCAACAAAGTGACAGTGTATGATTCCATGTATATAAGATATTTTAAATAGTAAACTCCTGGAAAACGGAAGTAGAAAGGTGCTTGCCTATGGTTAGGGTTGTGAAACCTCAGTGGTGCCAAAGATCAAAAAGGGTTATTTGGGAAAAGCAGGCCCTCACCCAGGTGGCCAACTCAAGGGCCCACAGACATGGCTACAGACAAGGAAATGGGGCACCGAGCTTGGTCTTACTGAAGATTACAAAGCAGTTCTGCAACCTCTCTCAAACTCCTTCAGCTATAGTCCAAAAGTGGTCCTTCCCATCAAGTGACCTGCAGGGAAACACACCCAGCCATGGCCCTGGAGGCAGGCCTGCAGATCTTGGCCTCAACTGTGCTCCTTGAAGCAGCCCTGTGACTCAGTTCTAGCTCTCACAGCCACAGTCCATGGCCAGTTGTACACACTCAGGGACCCACATGGAGACTTGTGAAACCTGTTCCCAGGTAGTTAGTAGAAGCCAATCCCATTCATACACATGGTATTTGGGCCATCATATGCAGACAAACTGTAAAACCCTACCCTACTGCCTGCCATATAGATTAATGTCCTCAAGGATATTTAATCTTTCCATGGCCCAGAAAGAATCCATGACTATCCAAATCTCTGGTAATACAACCATCAAAGGCAGACCCCATATCACTCAAACACAGATGTATGGTAAGTTCTCACTTAATGTTCAAAATAGGTTCTTGAAAACTGCATCTTTAAATGAAACAATGCCGCTATATGCCATTTAAACAACAGACCTAGCAGCACCCTTGTGACACAATGGCCAGGCTAGTCTGGAACTCCTGGCCTCAAGTGATCTCCCCACCTTGGCATCCCAATGTGCTGGCATTACAGGTGTGAGCCACTATGCTTGGTCACTTTACATTTATTTTGATTAAGTTCCTTATTTTTATACTATTGCAATTGGAAACTTTCTCTCTTTTTTGGAAAGTTTGTTGTTACTATATGGAAATGCAACAAATATTTGTATGTAGGGTCAGGTGCAGTGCCTCATTTCTGTAGTCCCTGCACACTTTCAGAGGCTAGAGGCCAAGGAAGGTGGATCACTTGAGCACAGGAGTTTGAGATGAGCCTGGGCAACAGAGTGAGACCCTATCTCAAACAAACAAAAAAACCCCACAAGTATTTTTATGTTGGTCATGTATCCTGATACCTTAATGAATGCATTTATTAGTTCAGTTTTTGTTGTTTCACTCTAGGGTTTTGTATATACGCATAATTATATTATCTACAAACAGTAACATTTTTACTTTTATTCCAAGCTGGAAAGCTTTGTTATTTTCCTTGTCTAATTGTTCTGATACAAACTTTCAGTAATATGTTAAGGTAGAAGCTGTGGCCCTGGAGGCATGCTTGTGGATCTTGGCCTCAGCTTTGGTCCCTGAAACAGCCCCATGTCTGTATATTTGAAGGATCTAACAACTCTTAACAGTTTCTATAAACTATGGCAAAACCCCATCTCCACTAAAAAAAACTATCTTTGGCAAGTAAAGATCTCCTTTTATTGGGTCCCCAGGCTGATAAGATTACCTCTGGGGTTGCTGAGAAGAAAGGTCATAGCTGGGTCACAAGGGTGCTGCTGGGTCACAAAACCCCATCTCCACTAAAAATACAAAAAAATTAGCCAGGCATGGTGGTGCGTGCCTGTAATCCCAGCTACTCGGGAGGCTGAGGCAGGAGAATCGCTTGAACCTGAGAGGCGGGGGTTGCAGTGAGCTGAGATTGTGCCACTGTACTTCAGCCTAGGGAACAGAGTGAGACTCTGTCTCATAAAATAAGTACATAAATAAAATAAATTTTAAAATGTAAAGGATGAGATAAAAATGTATACACTAACACAGTTAAGATATTGATGACAGAAATTGAAGTAGGTAAAAATAAATGAAAACATATTCCATTAGGATAACTAATATTGTCAAGGAATATTATCCAAAGTGATATGGAGATTCAATGTCATCCCTATCAAAATTTGAGTGGCATTTTTCACAGTAATAGAAAACACAATTGTAAAATTTAAGTGTTATCTTAAATAACTTAAAATAACCTGAGCAATCTTGAGAAAGAACAAAGCTGGGGACATCATACTTTCTAATTTCAAACTTTACTTAAAGGTCATGGTAATCAAAAGAGTATAGTATGTGCATAAAAACAGATACAAAAACCAATGCAACAGAATAGGGAGCCCAGAAACATATCCATGCATACAAGGTCAACTAATCTTTGACAAGGCCACCAATAATATACAATGCAGAAAGTATAGTCTTGTCAATACATGGTACCAGAAAAACTGGATATCCACAAGCAAAAGAATAAAATTAGACTATACCATAAATAAAATTTTCTTATACCATACCCCAAAATTAACTCAAAATAAAAGACTTAAATGTAAGACATAAAAGCTTAAAACTCCTGAATAAAACATATGGAAAAACCTTGTTGATATTGGTCTTGGCAATTTGGTATGTCATCAAAAGCACAGCAACAGAAGAAAATACAAAAGAGTGGGACTGCATCAAAGTGTACAGCTTCTGTACAGTAAAGGAAAAAACCAAAATTTTAAAAAATCCTACACAATAGAAAAATATTTGCAAGCCATATATCTGATAGTTAATATCCAAAATGTGTAAGAAACTTCTGCAATTCAAAGCAAAACAATAATGATGATAACCTATTCAAAAATAGGCAAAAGGTTAGTTTTGTTTTTCCCACAAAGAAGACATACATACAAGGGAAATCCTGTATGCCACTAGTGAGATATAAATTGATAAAGTCATCATACAAATCAGTAAAAAATAAAAATGAAAGTATCACATAATTCAGCAATACCACCTCTGGGAATACTACCAAAGGAAATAAAATTAGTACCTCAAAGAACAATCTTCAGCCCCATGTTCATTTTAGTTTTGCTTAAAATAGCCAAAAAAATTTATATATATACACACACAGTAGAATACTATTCAGCCATAAAAGAGAAGGAAATCTAGCCATTTACAGCATTGATAGACCTTGAAGACATTACGCTAAGTGAAATAAGCCAAACACAAAGAAACTGCATGTTCTCAGTTAGATGAGGAATCTAAAAATGTAAACTCATAGGAACAGAGAGTAGAATGGTGGTTGTTAGTGCCTGAGGGTGGGAATATGAGGAGATGCTGTTCAAAGAGTACAAATGATTAGTTGTAAGTTGAGTAAGTCTGAGAAAGCTAATGTACATTAGCATTAGATTAGCAAAATAGCATTGTCTTTATAGTAATACTGTAAAGTATGCTTACAATTTGCTACAACAGTAGACCTCAAGTGTTCTTGTGACAAAAAAAAAATGGTTATCTATGTGAGGTAATAAATGTGTTCATCAACTTGACATTTTGTTTCAAAATGTATATGCATATCAAATCATTACATTGTACAAATTAAATATAGTTATATAATTTTATCAGAAAAATCCGTATCACACAAACACAGATGTATGTTAAGTCCTCATTTAATGTTCAAAATAGATTCTTGAAAACTGCATCTTTAAATGAAACAATGTTGTTACATGCCATTCAAACATAACTTGTTTTTATTTATTAAACTCTGGTAAAATTAGTTTTCTTAAACAATATGTTGCTTTACTTACAGTTTCCAAGAACCTATCAATGATGTTAAGCGAGAATTTCCTATACACATATATGACTCATATAGGTATGTGTATGTGTGTGTGACACACAGTTCTACATATAGATAGATTATAGCTCAATGACAGAATCCCAGGAGGCTTCCTACTAAATAAGACAAAATTATAAGATAATAGTTTATCAAGAAATAAGGTAACAATTGAGAGCTTAATATACACTTAGGAATGTTCTAAGCCGGTTAATGACATAGTGCATTTAAGAAATCTAGAAGGCGGGCCAGGCACGGTGGCTCAGGCCTGTAATTCTAGCACTTTGGAAGGCAGAGGTGGGCGGATCACTTGAGGTCAGGAGTTCAAAACCTGCCTGGCCAACATGGTGAAACCCCATGGCGGGCACCTGTAATCCCAGCTACTCAGGAGGCTGAGGCAGAAGAACCATTTGAACCCGGGAGGTGGAGGCTGCAGGGCAGCAGAGGTTGCAGTGAGCCGAGGTCACGCCACTGCACTCCAGCCTTGGTGACAGAGCAAGACTCCGTCTCAAAAAAAAAAAAAAAGAAAAAAGAAAGAAATCTAGAAGGTGAGTAGATACTTTAAACCAGTGGTATCCAATCCTTTGAGTGTGAGGACGTTTTTGCTTATCTGTGGTGATGGGTATCAAAAAAATTATTCACAAACCTATTTCTTGTTTCTTAGCTCATCGGCTATCATTACTGTTTGTGTATTTTATAATTTTAAGTGTGTCCCAAGACAAATCTTCTTCCAATGTGGCCCAGGGAAGCCAAGAGTTTGAAAACCTGTGCTGTAAACTATATTGTAATTTGAAAATTTGAATATATATAGAGTTCAAATTACAAATTTCAGTTTATACAAAATAACATTTTGAAGTAAAATAACATATTTTTTCATATTTGGAAAAACGCTTATTGTTCTGATAAAATTGCTGAGTAAGAGTTTTTGTAGAATTACATTTGCAACCTCTACAGGATTAAAAATCACTAAGCAGGGTGATGCACACCAGCATGGCACATGTATACGTATGTCACTAACCTGCACATTGTGCACATGTACCCTAAAACTTAAAGTATAATTAAAAAAAAATCACTAAGCAGAAAAGATGCAACATCTGTCCTCGGTGTTCCTAAGATTTCTAAACAAAATCCCATTATGTCCACTACTCACCTTACGTATTTTAGGCATGATGCGAAAATAATATTTGAAAAAATACTTTAACATAGAGGTCCTCAATAATACAAATACTCCTATGTCACTAAAAGCAATGGAACAGCAGTCAGATTATGCAGCCCATTATAAGCGATAAAGTGGACATTGGCTCTCCTTGTAAACTTGGAGATCACTGAAGAAAAAAAGGAAATTCTTAGAAGATTTAAGAGCATGGGACAGAAGATGACCCTATTTGTGAATAAGAGAAAAAATGCAGCCTTTTCGGAAATTATTTTTATTGGCGCAGTTTCCCAGACTACATTTGAAGGCCTGGCTTCCTTCCTGACCTCTGGCCTCCTAGCCTGTGTCCTCTCCTTCATTCAGTCTCACCTACCTGGGGGTTTGGCTGCTGTCTCATGTATCTTCAAATTGCAGGGCTCTTTTATTTGCTCCAGACAGGTGACCAGGTCTGGGTTAGAGATCACAAAACCTGTTTTATTAAAAAAAAATTAACATGACTATTGCTGGGGATACTCCAATGACCAATCTATTACTATGCTAAGTAGAATAAAGAAATTATGGAAGACTCCAGAAAATTAATCCAAAAATTGTTTCCTGACAGAATCTTTAGAATACTGAAATATTTTAAATCTGTGGGTTCTAAGTTCCACTACCCAGTACTACTGAATCAAAAATAAGTGGTGCAAATTAGATTTTAGATGTGGAAAACAATATTTTACATCACTGAATTTCTAGAATTACTACTATCCTAGAGTGAAGGACAAAAATTAGCTCAAGAAAAGAGATGGTTTATGCAATGATGAAACATCCTAAAGATTTTCTTTTTACACCAGCAAATCCCAATTTTTTTCTTGTAGAAAGGCACTGAAATTAATTAATGCAAAGCAGAAGCACCCAAGAGACATTCTGCAAAGAAAGAAAATGAAACTCTGAGGAAGTATTAGGAATTATGTATTGAAGTTATCCTCACCCAGGGAGACCAGGTTCCTGTAGTTCTCCAACATCACATCTCTATACAAATTCTGCTGGGCAGGGTCCAGACATTTCCACTCTTCAGGGGAGAATTCTATGGCCACATCCCTGAATGTTACGAGTTCCTGAAAACACATATTTATCATGTCACAGAGTTCTTAATTTGACTATAAGTGAAATCAGAGAACTAGTTGTGACTTATGGGGCTGACTGGAATTATCTGATAAAATAACTTTTAACACAGTAATGTTATCTAAAGTATTGTATAATTCTGAAGAAAAAGGAGGGCATGCCAGCAATTTTTGTTGCTGCAATGGAAATATGGGCTACACTGATCTGTCCCTACCAAAACCAAGCAAAGCAGGTCCTGTGACCTCCTTGAACAAAGGGTGAACTCACGTCTCATTAAAGTAACTGGAAGCCCTCATGCTTGACCCTGGCCTCACTGTAATGTCACACAAGAAACTTAACAGGATCTGTGGGGAGGGAACAGGTGACTGTTTCTCTTCAAACTGCCATGTGATCCTACTGGAAGACTGGGCTGAGAGTCACTTAGCTAAACATTGCCTCTCAAGCTTCAATGTGCACATAAATTTGGTATTCTAGGCCTCACTGTAAGTAACAAAATTCTGCAGGTTTGAAAAGGGTCCATTAATCAGCTTTTTATAGCCAAGTCTCCCATTAATGCTCATGCTCCTCCTAGACCCGTTATAGTACCACTCAGCTAGAGAAAGCAGACACAGCACGCAGAGTCCCTTACCCCAACACCCTTATCACAACACAAATACTTTTCATCCGAAGACAAGACCAGCAATCAACATCCTGAAACGTGGCATTATCTGCAAGCCCTTTAAAGGTTACAGAGGCTGGAGATGGTGGCAATGTCTGAGTAAGTCTGCATTTGAAAAACAGCACATCCACATGCATTAATGCGATATTTGTGGAGCATGTACTATGTGCTCAGGAGTATGTCACAGAGCACTGTGCTGGGAAGCTCACATTATGTGTGTTAATTCTCACAGCATCCTGGGAGGTGGGTACAAAGTGTGTGATACTTCCCAGGATTTAAATGCAGGGCCCAGCATTTCTATTTTTTCTTCTGTTTTCCTATCATTGATTTTTAAAAAATATATAGAATAATAGCTCAATGTAGATAAATGGGAGAGACACAGAAGAAAGTTTTAAGTACAATTCGGGAATTTTTTATTTTTGTGTTTATAGTTACTTTGAGACTTGTGAAAAATCCACTGAAACTGCAAAGATGGAGAACAGGTTGCTGGATGGGATGTCTCTAGAAATACTGGTTTTAATTTTACATAAAATAATTTAAGTACATTAAATTCAAAGTACATTGCCTTTCTCCATTTATCAGCTTTTGTGTTTCAGGAAATTGGGAGCACCAGCTCTGGAGAGGCAGTAGGAATAGCTACTCCAAACTCTGATCTTCTCTAAGCAGTTCTGTGAGGTATTTCAGTGTGGGGTCAGACCTGGACAAGGTTCAGTAGAGGGGGGATCTGGGCAAAGTTGGGACAGAAAATGGGCCCTAGGCTTCTGCTCTCTAGGCCACTAAGTAGTTTCAGTTTTGTCTTTTCTAAGCCTGCCCAAAAGAAATTTGATTCCCAGAGTTTGTGAAATTTTTATCTATTTTGCCACTTCCCCATCTATAACATACAATAACAAGGAATTTAACCAAAACCCTTTTGTTTTTCCAGACCAATTATATTTGAAGTTAAATATTTATTCTTAGCAAGGCAAAAACAATACAAATAATGACTTCTCTTCTGTCCATAAACAGCCATGCAGGTGGTGGTATCAAAACTCACAAAACAATAAAAGGGAAGTAACCCAAACGAAGCTTAAGTCTCCTGTACAGTTTTCATCTTTGTACTGAATACATGACGCTGAATTCAATCATTTATTAATGTGCTCTAGAATGCAAGTTCCTTGATGGTAGGGACCACGACTATTTCATCTCTTTTTCTAATGTCCATATGAAACACTGACCCAGTCTGCACAGGACATCCTCAAATGTCTCAAATACTCACTGATGCTGCTGAGAGTGTCCCCAGTGACCCTGGGCTGATGCCCCCATAGTGATCCAGGCAGGAGACTCAGGCTGACTTTCTGGGGTGCAAACAGAAAATGGAACTGCCCTGATGGAGATGCAGATCCTGGATCTGGATGTGATATCCCCTGTCCCTGATCAGCTAACTCTGAGGTAGGCGAAGGAAAAAAGTACTCTACTCCAGTAACACAGGGAGGCATAGTTGGCATTATGGCTCTGGATATTTAGTGGCCTTGACTTCCCACTGCTAAGGTGCTTGTTTACACTTACAGATTCTGCCACAGTATTGTGTTCACACCAGAAGCCTCTTACTCAGCTGTAGCAGGTCACTGGACAAGATCTGGAAAACTCAAAGGGCTCCACTCTGAAAGTGGGGCTTATGTCTATGCTGACCTCTCATGATGCAGAAAACACCTTCTGTGACTTTTCTGTATCTCTTCAACCCAAAGTCTGGCCCTGTCTTGTGAATCCTGGGCAGAAGCCAGCTTTTATGTGCAGATTCTAGGTGAGATCAATGTGTGCTGCATTCTTGAGTTACAGGAAACAGAGTAAAATCAGAGGAAAGACCTTCTCATGAAGCCTCCTTCAACATATTCTAAAGAATATTTTGAGCTAAAGGGAAAAAGCTGGGGTAAACATAAGTAGAGAGTTTATTTGAGCCAAAGCTTGAAGACTGCAATCCTGGAGTATAAAGTTGCCCTGAATATACACTCCAATTAGAAGCAGTTACAAGCATATTTTTACAGGCAAAAAGGAAGTCAGAGAGGAGATTGATAGAAAGGTGTCAGAAATTCTTATTGGTTTATAGAAGTAACATTGGTTAGTGATTGGCCATATACATAGTTAAGCTATAGGGTATGGGTCATAGTGTCCAGTGTGGCATTATTAGGTTAATTTACAGCCACTTGTGGCAATAGCAAGCAATTTCAAAAGACAAATAGTTCAAGGAGGAGAACAGTATGTGAGTGTGGTCTCATTTTAACACATCTCTGGGTCTGATAAATCTAAAAACTTGTATTTCTCAAATAAAAGTTCTTTTATCAAATCTCAGGACATAAATTCAGAATTTGGAACTGCACATTTAGGTCTTGGAGGGCTGGTGAGCTATGTTTGTGGGCCACAATGTGGCCCATGCCAAATGTTTGTGGGCATGTGGGCAAGGGGAGGTGGGAGGGAGCAGAATTTCTCAGGTTTAATCGATGCGTATGTGTGAATCTGGTTAGGTTTATGGGCCCCATATCTCTGAAATCAGTGTCAGAACGGAAGATGCCAGGAGCACTGAAGGCGGTGAAATAACTGACTGCTGTCCTGAAAAGTTATTTTTGTAGAAATTTAACTGCTCTAGAAAGGACTGTAGATGCCAAGAGAGAGACCATTCTGTTTGCAGATTTAGGAAATACTTTGCTGCACTTTGCCGCACAATTGCAGGTTGTGACTGGAATCCTGAGAAAGAATGTTTTCTCAAGTGAAGTCTGCTCGACATTTTGTGTATAACATCTGGTAATTCTGGACAGTGTGTGGAAAATATAACTAAAAGCAAAATCATCTGCAATCCTAAAAAAGTCTCCACAGTAACAGAACTGCAAGAAAATGTTTTGTTGTATAATTAAACCAAAATATGATGTGCATCACAAGCAATCTAAGAAAATGCAAACACAGAAAGTCACCATAATTAGTTCTCAAGTAGAAGCCTTGAAAGCACCATTTGTCATACACAATTTATTATAATTTCATCATGTAATTTGAGAGGTCATCTGGGTTTTCTAATTTTTTCTAATCATTAAAGAAAAAATAAACATCCACATCTTCGTGACAGGATGTAGATTTGCAATGTGGAGCTAGGTACCTGCTGAAGGCAGCCTCCTAGTCCCCTACAGAAACTGTGAAATAGGGTGTATATTCTTGCTATTTACATTTCAAAGCAATAGTTCCCAGGTCCCAGAAGAAGACAATTTTGAGCCAAAAAAGACAAATGACCTATTTAACTGATAAAAATGATTTACATATATTTCAAAGAAGCAGAGAAAATATTTAAATATAAAAGTTCTCAAACTAAATGCTTTAAGAAAAAGGAGAAGAGCAAAAATTCTTCCCTCGTTCTAAAGAGAAAGCATTAAGCCTCTTCTAATTTGTGTTTGCTCCTACAACAGCCAGGCCAAAAGGCCTGGTTTCGAACTCACTAACGTCTGAATTCTCATAGGCACCTGAGGGA
The DNA here is from genome assembly GCF_000001405.40 of Homo sapiens. Classification (NCBI taxonomy): domain Eukaryota; kingdom Metazoa; phylum Chordata; class Mammalia; order Primates; family Hominidae; genus Homo; species Homo sapiens. The sequence continues at coordinate 138,992 of NT_187499.1, forward strand.
TGGACTTGGGCACACCGTGTACACAGAAAAGAGAATTTGTGGGGAAGGAAAAAGCAGAAGAGAAAGGAGCTATCAACAGCCATGGGTGGGAGGCCGGGCGCGGTGGCTCACGCCTGTAATCCCAGCACTTTGGCAGGCCGAGGCGGGAGGGCTCAAGGTCAGGAGATCCAGACCATCCTGGCTAACACGGTGAAACCCCGTCTCTACTAAAAATACAAAAAAAAAAAAATTAGCCAGGCATGGTGGCGGGCGCCTGTAATCCCAGCTACTCGGGAGACTGAGTTAGGAGAATGGCGTGAACCTGGGAGGCGGAGCTTGCAGTAAGCCGAGATCACGCCACTGCACTCCAGCCTGGGCAACAGAGCAAGACGCCATCTCAAAAAAAAAAGCCATGAGTGGGAGCAGAGCAGGACTGACTAAAGCACTGGTTTGTGCCACAGGTACAGGCCGAGGCAGGGCTACGCTCTGATTCCATGTCTACAAAGACAGAAGGGATTAGGATCAGGTGGTCCGGAAGCCTGGGTGGGTGAAGGAAGCAGGTTCCTGCTGTAGATCCGGTCTGCGGTTGAGATGAGCCAGGAGACTTCTGGGCACTGCGTGTGTTTTTGGCAGAAAACGCTAGGCGCAAAGCTGCCATGGGCACAATTCCTGAGGTGGAATCCCGTACTGGGAAGAGTGGGGCAATGCGAATGCCCGGTGGGCGTGCTCAGGAGTGGACTAGCATTGGGTGGGGGCTGGCAGCAGGGTGCAGGGAAGGGATGTTTCTCAGAACTCCTTTCCTCTTTGTTCTGGGTCCCCTCTCTCCCCGGAAGGAGACCTGGAGGAAAAGGACAGTGCCCAGCGGGACAGCACATATGCAGAACCCGGCCGCGCCTCCCGCAGACACCAGGCATCTTTCTCCAGCCCAGGCTCAGCCATGTCTTTCTTCTGACAGAAAACGTGCGGAGTTTCCTCAACACCAGTCAATGCTCCAACCCCAACGCGGTGTCCAGCAACTCACTAACGACACCACCCAGAGTCAGCGCAGACCCCACAAGCTCAGCGCTCTTCCCACAACTGCTCCCGCTGCAGACGCCAGTCCCTGCCTCTGGACACCCGTCTTCATTTCTGAACGCCTGTCTACAAACCAGGGGCGCCCACACCCTCAAGTTCAGCAATGTGGCAGAACTACTCACAGAACTGAGAAGCGCCGTGCGCACCGACACCAGCGTATTCTAAAAGATGTTACTCAGGAACAGCCACGCGGAGGAGGTGCACAGGGCAAAGGGACTGGTGGAATAGTTGGAGCGGGCGGGTGATTTGCTTCGCTTGCTCACACACCTCACAAAAGCCTTTCCTTCAAGACCCGCTGGCAGTCCCCAAACCAGGAGCCGCGGCCGACGCTGTCCCATTAATGAGACCCCGTTTGCTCACATGAACTTTGTTTCGATGGGGCCTCGATCTCATTCCGAACAGGGTAAAGTAGGGACCGGACCCCCGGACCACAGCTCCTCCCAGGCGGGCACCTCGCACGCGGGCGCCGGCGTCTTCCAGATGAGCTCCTCCTCACCCCACGGCCCAGGGAAGGTGCGGGGCTGCGGGCGCAGAACTGCACAAGGAGGGCCGCAGGCTGGGCCAGAGCCGCCGTGCGGGGACCGACAGGAGCCCGGTCCGTCACCGGAGGGGACTGAGGGCTGAGAGGCGGCAGCGGGGACTCCGTTCGCAGACTCGGTCCCGCCGCCGCCATTTCCCGCCGGTTCCGATGAGGCCTCCCCAGCCTCCGGACGCCCTGCCCCGCACACTCACCATTTCCCGACTTCAGGGTATCCGGGAGTCTTAGCTACAAATTGTCCAATACCCTCAGGTCACAGAGCAACGGGAGGCAGAGGCTGTGGCTGAATCACCGAGGCCTCCCGGAGCCGAGAACGCAGAGAGCCGAAGCCCTAAACCAAGCCCTCGCAGGAGCCAGAGGAAAACGCCGCGCCAGATCCCGGAAGCCAACCCCTCCTCTCTGGCTGCGGGCCTGATTGGGCAGTTCTCATTCCGACACTCTGATTGGATATTACTCCAATCCCCGCCCTCGGGCCTTGAGTAACAGAATTTGCAACCATACACTCCACTGATGTGGCAAGAGTGACAGGCTGGGGCCTCCAGGCCCTTTCAGGCGGGGCTTTCTCTCCCGGCTTGGCCTGACGCAGCCCAGGGGTGTTTTTTTTAACCTTGTTGTGTGTAAGGTTATGTCCACTTGTAAAATACACTTACACACAGACGTGCACACACACGCGCACACACACGCGCGCACACACACGCATGCACACATGCATGCACACACACTTTTTCACAAACGGAAGTGATATAATGACAATTATTTTAATATTTTAGATTTCATAACCCTTCTGGCCGCTAGTCTTTTGAGTAGGACACCTGAGATTTTAAGAGGGAAGCAATCCTTTAAAAAATAAAATGTTAATTTGTGAATTTTGCGTTTTTATTAGCCACGTCAAAAATAATATTTAAAGAGTGAAGTTGTTTGTAATAATTTTTAACTCATTGTATCAAAATATTGTTTTAATATGTGATTGATATATAATTAGAAATAAAGTATATTTCTGATCTAATTCTTCTAAACTCACTGTGTATTTTATGTATTTCTGATCTAATTCTTCTAAACTCACTGTGTATTTTATGTTTGCAGCACATTTTACTTCAAACCAGTCACATTCCAGGTACCCAGTAGCTACATATGGCAGGTGGCTGCCACATTGAGCGCAGCCATGAGGGCTCTCTTCCCTTAGGGAAGTGAGGGCCTGAACACCTCTTTTCTGCTGGAAGTAAGGGACCAGCCTCTCTACCAACTTTTCTCCTCAGGCTCAAGGGTGGGTGGGACAGTGCCCCTAGAGAGAGCAGGGGCTGCAAGCTGAGAGTATCCACGTGAAGACCACGGTTTCCCAGTTGCTGTTTGGTGGAGGTGTGGTGGTCTCCTCGGTTCAGCCAGGTCGGGACTCTTGTGCCACGACCAAAAAGAATGAAGCACACGGATACCAGAGAGTGAGCAAGGCAGAGTAGGATTTATTAAGCAAAAGGAAAGCTCTCAGAAGCAAGAGGGGACCTGAAAGCAGGTTGCCAGAAATGAGGCTGAGGTCTGGGTCTTTTATGTGGCAAGAACAAGTATGTCTTCTGTGGGTTCTGCCCAAATGGGAGGGGTAAAGTTCCTCACTAAGGGTGTTGCATCTGCGCATGCCTGGGATTGGCCACAGTGACTCCATTTTGGTTATTACCCATGAGTGCCTAAGCGAAACTTACACGAGGAGAGCCAAAACCACAATGCTAATGTCATGTTAATGACCTTATAATGAGCTGGGTCAAGTTAAGGACATTTGGGTTGATTTATTGCGCCTGTGCTAAGTTGGGACAGTCCCTTTGGAGCAACATCCTGGCATAAGAGGAAGTTCTTAACCACATTTCTTCCTGCTAGCTACAGATGTGGTGCAGGTGCGGTCCCACACGTGTTTTTCCTCTCCCCAGGCCCTCTCTCTATCTGCCTAACCAGCGTCCGACTGCCTCCTCTATCAAAGGTTCCTCTTCCTTTCAAATATCAGACAGCAAACAAAGAATGTTGGGGCCACACAAGCAGAGAACACCATGTCTTCAGATCTCTTCACAGCCTTGTCCTCCAGAGTTTAGAAGTGGAGGGAAAAGATTAAAGGCAATCTTCTTGTTTTGCTATTTGTCCTTGGACCTAATCTGGACTTAATTTGGACACACAGGCTGTAACTATGTGTTTTTCTCCTTTGGTGTGGGGCACTGTGAGTTTAAGCACCAATCACATGCATCCACATCTAACTGCACTTCTGTTCCCAGAACGAAGGCCGTGAGTGTGAGTTGTCCAGGTCCTTGACAACAAAGAATTGAACAAAATGCACAAAGTAACAAAGGAACAAAACAGAGGGAGGAAGCATCAAAAGCGGAAATTTATTAAGGTAAGAAATAGGGTGGGTATGGGCTTGAGCAAGTGGCTCAAGGACCCAGTTACGAAGTTTTCTGGGTTTTTAGTACTCCTTTTGAGGTCCCTATCAGCTACCACTGATATGGATTAAGGATTTAGTCTGTGGCTAATTAAAGGCTTAGGAGAATTGGCACGCTATGCGGATGAAGGAATGCAGGTGCTTGGCCTGCAGCCACTCCAAGGCACTTTCCCTTTCTACCTGAGAAGTGGTAGAAAGGGGAGGGTTGTAGGGACAGTAGCCTTTGATCCTTTGCTATTCAGGTGTGGGGAGATGGGACTTTTTCTTTTGGTTTAGCTGTTGGAAGTTTGTCTTAATTGGCCTTAGGTTTCCTGCCTCCAGACCTTGGTGTTTTTTCTTTTAGGAAGTCAGCACAAATTGGCCTTAAGTTCTCTGCCTCCATACCCCATTCTCCTGCCTCCCTTCTGTACAAACCATTTGTTATACATAGTTCATCTTAAACTCACCTGGTAATTGGGGAGGCCTTCTGTGTATGCTGGTTGGTTATATGCAAAGAAAAAATAAACTTCCAACATCATGATAGGAGGCAGTTTTGCAACTTAGAGCCAGGTGTCTGTTGCAGGTAAGCCTACCTTACCTTCAGCTGTAAGTGGCTCTAAGTGGCTCTAAGTCACCCTCCATCTCGTACAGAAAGAGTGAGATAGGGTACTATCATCTTGGCTATTTATATTTCTTTTTTTTTCTTTTTTTGAGACAGAGTCTTGCTCTGTCGCCCAGGCTGGAGTGCAGTGGTGCGATCTTGGCTTACTGCAAGCTCTGCCTCCCGGGTTCACGCCATTCTCCTGACTCAGCCTCCCTAGTAGCTGGGACTACAGGTGCCCGCCACCACACCTGGCTAATTTTTTTGTATTTTTAGTAGAGACGGGATTTCACTGTGTTAGCCAGGATGGTCTCGATCTCCTGACCTTGTGATCTGCCCGCCTTGGCCTCCCAAAGTGCTGGGATTACAGGCATGAGCCACCGCGCCCGGCCGGCTATTTATATTTCAAAGCAATGGATCCCTACTCACTAAGCCCTGGGCTGCAGCAATTCTGCTTGCCCTCTCCTGGTGGCCTGTGTCCTCTCCCAAACCCTGCCATCTACCACTGAGGCACAGCCCACAGCTGGCAGCTCACATTTTACATTAGAGAGTGGGGTCCCCACATTTTACATTACAGAGCGGGGTCCCTGAGCTGCAGGAGGAGAGCCTGCAGGGCTCTTGGGTAGAATTGCACTTTTGCAATAAGGGAAACGGGAGCAATGTTTCAGCCTCAGTTTCTATTTATAATACTGACACAAAAAGAATATTGCTGGATACATAGCATGGATCTAGATAGAGCAGCTCCAGGAGTTCTCACGGTGACAGCCCCCCTCACTCACAGACACCATGTGATACTAATAGGGCTTAGACACAAAGCACTGAATTCCCAAAGCATTGAAGAGAAAGACAGCTCTCAGTCTGAGTAAAACCGTATTGAGAGAAGAAAAGAGGTTGAAAGAATCTTAAAGACAAATTCAGATTACATGTAACATTGGTCAAATTGACCAGAAAATATTCTTCCAAAGAAGTTCTTCTCTAAACACCAAAAGTGCACAGCTACTCTCAGCATGAGAAATACAAGTATTATGAGAAAGAGGGCTTATTCTGAGCAGAATTTCCATCTCTGCTGCTCTCCCATCTGCCGGCCGTTGGATTGGGAATCTATACTGGAACACACCTGACAACCTCCACCAGCACTTTTTGATGAAGAATTGGAATTCACTCTATTCACATAGTAGAATTATATCAGAGATTGCAAGATAGCTAACTGAAGAGCTACTATGATTCTTGGGTGGCCACATCACCTGCATTTATTTGTCCGGGAATAGTGGCATTCCTAATTTAGTAAAATAAAAGAATAGACTGTAAAATTATGCTGACCTATAATTATACCTATAGGATCAATTAATAAACATGTCAGGTTAATATCTACTGTAGCAATGTGGTAGTAAATTTTCTTTGGGTATTAAATATAAATGTGTACATATAAATAATTTTGGTATATTAGTCATAATGTATATATTTTAAAAATTATCTGTAAGCTTAATTACAATATTTTATAATACTTTATATTTCAAACAAATTAATGCTTATATTAAAGTTATATAAACTTAATTCAAACAAATTAATACTTATAATAAAGTTATATAAACTTAAAGTTATAATACTTTATATTTCAAACAAATTAATAACATTAATATTAAAATTACTATTTAAGAAGTTTATTCAAAATAAATATTGTGGCCTTATATTCACACAATTGTAGAAAATACTGTTTAATTTACATGGATGCATGTTGTCTACTAAAGACTAAACAAAACTATGCTAATTTTTCTGAAGTAATAAGTAGAAACCAAAGCACAGCTAAAAATTCCACTGCTCAGTTTATACACTAACAGTTCTAGCTTTTGCAGTGTTAAATACTTTAGGCTCCAGATATTATCACCTTTGATATAATCGCCTTGGATGATTAGTTTTCTATTGGAGAAACTTAGTATCTTTTACTCTTCATTACTCTGTATTGCTGAATTGAATCCTATCCTTTGTGCTCAACTTTTGTGTGATCTTAAAGTGAGCTTTATCATTCTAAACAAATCTGTGTCTACTTTAAAAGACTGAAAATGGAAAAAAAAAAAACTTTGCCAAATCAAAAGCAAAAACAAAGTGGTGGTTCTCAGGTCCTAGATAAAGAGAATCCTGAGTCAAAAAAAAGAAAAAAAGGTAAGTTTTATTTAGCTGTTAAAATAATTTATATATATGTGTGTATTTCAAAAAAGCAAACAAAAATGTACATGTAGGCTAAATGCTTTTTAAAGAAAAGCAACAGCTGGATTAAGGACATGATCTTGAACTTCCAGACATCTGAATTTCAGTACACACTGGATTTAGGTATCTAATGGGTGGTCCTGGACACACTGTGTACACGTAAAAGAGAAACTGTGGGGAAAAATGTAGAAAACAGAAAGGAGCCACCAAAAATCCATGAGTGGAGGACAGTAAAAGGTAGGTGGACAGACTGGTTTGTGTTAAAGATAATGGTCTAGAAGGGGCTATACTCAGAATTATTCCTGTGTCCGTGCAGGCAGTTGAGATTATTAACAGGTGGTGGAGAGAACAGGTTGCTGTTGCAGATTCAGTGTCTGAGGGTAGAATTATACTAGGAGACCTATAGGCACTTGTGTAGGTTTTTGGCAAGAAACTAGAAGAGAAGGCACTGTGATGGGATTCCTAAGGGTGGTACTTACTCCTGGGAGGGGCATGGCCACATTAATACCTCCTAGGAGTATGTTTATAAGTGAGTGAAAAGTATGTGATGGTAGCTGTAGGCTAAGGGGGTCTGTTCTGAAGTTTTTAGTCCCCTCTTACCTGGGGAAAAGAACTGAAATCACAGGAGAATGTGCAGTGTGACAGCCTATATACAGGAGAAGAGAGCCTTTCTTCTCCAGACACCCAGTCTTTCTCTAGCTCAGGCCCCTGTCGTCGTCGTCGTCGTCTTCTTCTTCTTCTTCTTCTTCTTCTTCTTCTTCTTCTTCTTCTTCCTCTTGTTCTTCTTCCTCTTCCTCTTCCTTCTTCTTTCTTCTTCTTCTTTTCTTTCTTCTTCTTCTTCTTGTTCTTGTTCTTCTTGTTCTTGTTCTTCTTGTTCTTGTTCTTGTTCTTCTTCTTCTTCTTTGTTCTTCTCCTTCTTCTTCTTCTTCTTTTTTGAGATGGAGTCTCACTCTGTCACTTAGGCTGGAGTGCAGTGGCACTATCTCAGCTCACTGCAACCTCTGCCTCCTGGGTTCAAGTGATTCTCCTGCCTCAGCCTCCTGAGTAGCTGGGACTACAGGCACCTGCCAACATGCCCAGCTAATTTTTGTATTTTTAGTAGAGATGGGGTTTCACCGTGTTGGTCAGGCTGGTCTCAAACTCCTGACCTCATGGTCTGCCCACCTCAGCCTCCCAAAGTGTTGGGATTACAGGCATGAGCCACCATGCCTGGCCGATGTCTTTCTTCTAACACTACATCTGTAGAGTTTGAGGAATACAAAGCAGTTCTCCAACACCAACTAGTTGTTTAACATTTTAAATCTCACACCACCAAAGTCAGCACAGGCCCTAGAGTCCAGAGCTTAGTCCCACAACACTGCTCTTACTGCAGATGCCAGTCAGAAACCACAGGTACCCATACGTACTTCTGAGCTACTAAGAAGTGAGGACTCCCATAACTCCTTTCTCAAGTTTGAGAATTTGATTAAAATACTCACAGAACTCAGCCAAACACTGTACTTGTGTATAACAGTTTGTTATAAAATATACAACACAGGAACAGTTGGAAATGGAACAGGTGTATAGAAGCTACAGAGCCTGGGCAGGCTGGGGACTTGTAGGCAGATGCAGCTGGGGATAGGATGAAAGGGGATTGGGACAAACTTTCTGAGGATACAATTTTTATTGTCCTGGGGTTGTTTATAGACTTTGTCAAATAAAACAAATTCAGATTTAGGGAAGATTTAGATACACATGTAACCTTAATATTATATACCTATTTTTGTAATACTTTATAGTTTATAATGTGTTTTACTGGCAATCTAAGTTGAAATCTAGTTTACTTTTAGCTACAAATACCCTCCAGGAAGGCAAGTTTTATAACTACATATTTTTGTTAAGTTGTATGTGGTACTATAAGGCACAACATGCCTCTACTTTGAAAAGAATAGCCACCAAGTCCTGAATGGAAATGCAAGAATTGTGAAAGAATTCAGTCACCTAATTTGTTGATTGGAGAGGATTTCTTTTTTTTTTTTTTTTGAGACAGAGTTTCACTCTTGTTGCCCAGGCCAGAGTGTAATGGCGCAATCTCAGCTCACTGCAACCTCTCCCTCCCAGGTTCAAGTGATTCTCCTGTCTCAGCCTCCTGAGTAGCTGGGATTACAGGTGTCCGCCACTACACCCGGCTAATTTTTGGTATTTTTAGTAGAGAAGGGGTTTCACCATGTTGGCCACACTAGTCTCAAACTCTTGACCTCAGGTGATCCACCTGCCTCGGCCTCCCAAAGTGTTGGGATTACAGACGTGAGCCACCACTCCCAGCCAAGGATTTCATTTCTGTAGGTACCATCGGCTTTCTCACTTCTCCCTATCTGTTCAACATGTTCCACATTTTTTCCCGCAGCCTTTTCACCAAATCATAACCCAGGAGAATGGTGAAGGCACAGAGAGTGATAAGCTGCTTCATGACAATCTTCATTTCAGAACTAAAAGCAAAAACTGCACTATTTAGGTATCTGTGACTTGTGAACGTTCTGTCTATGAGTTACAACTGTCTATTTTAACTTAGAAGACTCAATCTTCAAAATTAATAATTACTTTTTAGATGTATACAAAAGTAAAATATTCCAACATTTTGGGAGGCCGAGTGTGCAGGGGTGGATCACTTGAGTTCAGGGATTCAAGACCAGCCTGACCAACATGGTGAAACCCTGTCTCTACTAAAGAAGTACAAAATTAGCCGGGCCTGGTGGTGTACTCTGGTAATCCCAGCTACTTGGGAGGCTGAGGCAGGAGAATTGCTTAAACCTGGGAGGCAGAGGTTGCAGTGAGCTGAGATCATGCCATTGCATTCCAGCCTGGGCAACAAGAACAAAACTTTGTCTCAAAAAAAAAAAAAGTAAAATATTGTCCTTAATTTTTATCTTATAAAACTATATTATATTCTATAAACAGTCACATAAATTAATTTTTCTTCAGCCATGTTAAAATGTACTATTGTTTTCACGTCGTAAGAAAGAATAAGTATGGACACAAGAGTTTGTTTTCCTTTTCCAGACTTAAGATTTGTGATATAAAAGTTAACTGAAGTGAGAGCGTTTCAACTGGGTTTCCACATCATTTTCCACAGTGGAATCATCTGAGGCATAGAATTCAGTGCACCCACACATAGCTTTGAAATATAGTCCTCTGACTATGTCTGGAGAATATGCCAAGCTTTCCAACAGCAAGCAAGACTGAGGCATCAGCATAGAGATTAGGCCTGGCTGAAGAGCTCTTGAAATACGTGTGCCTTATACAAAACACCTGGGAATGTCAGACACCATGGTATAAAAATCACCAAAGTAATTAGGCCAGTGACTGTGTCATTGATTGTAACTACCAGTCAATGTCTACCTAATATTTAACTAGTGGCAGCAATGAATATAACATTCAATGATAGATGGAGAGGGTAGAAAGTCTGCTCTCCAAAGAATGTCATCTTTTTCTCAATTCAGAAAAGTCCCTCAATTGCATTTTTCTCAGCTGCTTATACATAATTCAAATCTACTCTCTCGTATGTCTTATGTCACAAGCAATCAAAAATGCAGTTATAGTCAAATTGAAAAGAAACTTGGAGTTGGTAGATCTGGGTTCAAATTTCACCTCTGCCACTTATTATGTGTAGCCTTGATGGGGTTCAGTTCCTTCTTCTGTAAGAAAGGGTTAATACCTACCTCATAGAATTGATGTGTTTTAAATATAGTTGAGCATTCACATAAAGAGGTTTTTGAAATTTTCTTCACTTTTCCGTAAGTTATAGCCAACTCATCTTTTTGTTCCAGTTTCTCCCTCATGATATTTGGTATATATGACTTCCAATGGTGACTGCTTTAAAGGCTGGTGTACATTCAAATGCATATACATGTTCTTGTGTTAAATTTTTAAAAACCAAACTCCTGTCCAGGCGCAGTGGCTCACGCCTGTAATCCCAGCACTTTGGGAAGCCGAGGCAGGCGGATCACCTGAGGTCGGGCGTTCGAGACCAACCTGACCAACATGGAGAAACCCCATCTCTACTAACAACACAAAATTGGCTGGTCATGGTGGTGCATGCCTGTAATCCCAGCTGCTTGGGAGGCTGAAGCAGGAGAATCGCTTGAACCTGGGAGGCAGAGGTTGCAGTGAGCTGAGATGGCACCATTGCACTCCAGCCTGGGCAACAAGAGTGAAACTCCATCTCAAAAACAAAACAAAACAAAACAAAACAAAACTCCTTTTGTTGCTTTACACCTTCTCTCACATGGTATGATATACTGATAACACCTACACTTTTTTTGGAAGTGTTTTCATATACTTCCTTTGGACCAATAAAAATGAACCTTCTGAGATGTGGAGGATATGGGCTATTACCCCAATTTTAAAGGAAAAAAAAAGTTCAGTCAGAAGTTGAATGTCCCCATGAGGAGTAACAGAGGTCATTCCTGATTAATCTAATTTAATCTTTATAATTCAAGGATCCTCCCAGCCAAAACAATCTCAGGTATCCGATTTTATGCAATTCATTTTGTGAGTAACATCACAGAAGGATTGAGTAGGATACTGGTTTAACCATGGGCATAACATTTTTTTTTTCAGTATTGAAGAGTAAAGCTAAAGTTTGTTCACTAAGATGTTTAATTCAAGCCCCAGTAACAGAGATACACAACTGCCAAAGTCAGCTCTTAGGGGTGTTGTACCAGGAGGTGGTGTAAACAGATCTGGACCCAGAGAATTAGAAAGAAAAGGCAGAATGAAGTTCACAACAGCAGCTGCTACATTTAAAAATGTTAGAGCTGTTTTACAATTATTTTCACTTCCCTAGCTTTCTGAGCCTGTAAGTCTCTCTTCCCTATTTCAACATTCATCCTAAAGAGTTTTAAATTAGTATGTGAAACCAAAAGGTCAGAGTGTTTTAGTCTGATACAAATCATCCCTAACTAAAATGATTCCAGTATGTGCTTCCATTTCATTAAAACTGTTCTGTGAAAATTTGGATATCCTCAGGAATGCATTATTACAGAATAATTTAAAGCATTAGCTATGCTTCATCTGCATGCTACTATATTTTAGAATCTCATTTTTAGGAATTGCTATATAAATTGATTACATATTCTTTTGAAGAACCTCAGTAATAGGAAATCTATGGCCTCTGAGAGTGGATTTACTTTTTGATAACAGTCAAATCCTATGACTATTGTGTAAAGGTGAGGGACCCAGCTAGGCAATTCTGCTTGGGGTTAAAATAATAATAAATGTACCTGAAAATAAGGAGGTTGACTTCTTATACAGCAGCTACACACCAGCTCCTCAAACACACCTACCTCAGGACCTTTGAGCTTAATGCTCTCACTTTGTGGAATCTTTTTATAGCATGTTCTTTTTCACTGATATGAGTTACAGGTCACTTAAAAAAGGCCTTTCCTGAACACCCTAATGGAGAGTGGTCCACAATCACTCTCAACAACCACATTTGTCTAAATCAATGTCATGCTTGCTTTTTTATCAACTGTTATCACCATTTATTAATTTTTTGTTATTTTTCATCTCCTCTTCTGACCCATGCTGTCCAACACAGTAACCAGTAGATTAAAATTCCAATTAATTGTAATTCAGAAACTTAAAGAAAAAAATGGAAAAATTGTATTTCACCAAAAACAACTTTGTTCTTTGAAGGAAGCATTTAAAAGAGTAAAAAATGGTTTTCTGGTTCCAAGATGGCTGAATAGGAACAGCTCCAGTCTACAGCTCCCAGCATGAGTGACGCAGAAGACAGGTGATTTCTGCATTTCCAACTGAGGTACTGGGTTCATCTCACTGGGGCTTGTCAGACAGTGGGTGCAGACCACAGAGTGTGAGCTGAAGCAGGGTGGGGCATCACCTCACCTGGGAAGCACAAGGGGCTGGGGAATTCCCTTTCCTAGCCAAGGGAAGCTGTGACAGATGGTACCTGGAAAATCGGGACACTCCCACCCTAATACTGTGCTTTTCCAGTGGTCTTAGCAAATGGCACACCAGGAGATTATATCCTGTGCATGGCTTGGAGGGTCCTATGACCACAGAGCCTCGCTCACTGCTAGCACAGCAGTCTGAGATTGAACTGCAAGGCAGCAGCAAGGCTGGGGGAGTGGTGTCTGTCATTGCTGAGGCTTGAGTAGGTAAACAAAGCGGCCAGGAAGCTCGAACTGTGTGGAGCCCACCACAGCTCAAGGAGGCCTGCCTGCCTCTGTGGACTCCACCTCTGGGGAAAGGGCATAGCTGAACAAAAGGCAGCAGAAACTTCTGCAAACTTAAACATCCCTGTGTGACAGCTTTGAAGAGAGTAGTGGTTCTCCTAGCACGGAGTTTGAGATCTGAGAGTGGACAGACTGCCTCCTAAAGTGGGTCCCTGACCCCCGAGTAGCCTAACTTGGAGGCACCTCCCAGTAGAGGCTGACTGACACCTCTTATGGCCAGGTGCCCCTCTGAGACAAAGTTTCCAGAGGAACACTCAGGCAGCAACATTTGCTGTTCTGCAGCCTCCGCTGGTGACACCCATGTAAATAGGGTCTGGAGTGGACCTCCAGCAAACTCCAACAGACCTGCAGCTGAGGGTCCTGACCGTTAGAAGAAAAACTAACAAACAGAAAGGACATCCACACCAAAACCCCATCTGTACGTCACCATCACCAAAGACCAAAGGTAAATAAAACCACAAAGATGGGGAGAAACCAGAGCAGAAAAGCTGAAAAGTCTAAAAATCAGAGTGCCTCTTCTCCTCCAAAGGAATGCAGCTCCTCACCAGCAATGGAACAAAGCTGGATGGTGAATGACTTTGATGAGTTGAGAGAAGAAGTCTTCAGACGGTCAGTAATAACAACCTTCTCCAAGCTAACGGAGGATGTTTGAACCCATAGCAAAGAGAGATCAGACTGTTACTGTGTCTATGTAGAAAGAAGTAGACATAAGAAACTCCATTTTGTTCTGTACTAAGATAAATTATTCTGCCTTGAGATGCTGTTAATCTGTAATGCTAGCCCCAACCCTGTGTTTGCAGAGACATGTGCTGTGTTGACTCAAGGTTTAATGGATTTAGGGCTGTGCAGGATGTGCTTTGTTAAAAAAGTGCTTGAAGGCAGTATGCTTGGTAAAAGTTATCACCATTCTCTAATCTCAAGTACCCAGGGACACAATGCACTGTGGAAGGCTACAGGGACCTCTGCCCAGGAAAGCCAGGTATTGTCCAAGGTTTCTCCCCATGTAATAGCCTGAGAGATGGCCTTGTGGGAACGGAAAGACCTGACCATCCCCTAGCCCAACACCCATAAATGGTCTGTGCTGAGGAGGATTAGTGAAAGAGGAAGGCCTCTTTGCAGTTGAGATAAGAGGAAGGCATCTGTCTCCTGCTCGTCCCTGGTAATGGAATGTCTTGGTGTAAAACCTGATTGTATGTTCTGTTTACTGAGATAGGAGAAAACCACCTTAGGGCTGGAGGTGAGACATGCTGGCGGCAATACTGCTCTTTAATGAACTGAGATGTTTGTGTACGTGCACATCAAAGCACAGCACCTTTCCTTAAACTTATTTATGACACAGCGATCTTTGTTCACATGTTTTCCTGCTGACCCTCTCCCCACTATTACCCTATTGTCCGGCCACATCCTCCTCTCCGAGATGGTAGAGATAGTGATCAATAAATACTGAGGGAACTCAGAGACCAGGGCCAGCGCGGGTCCTCTGTATGCTGAGTGCTGGTCCCCTGGGCCCACTGTTCTTTCTCTATACTTTGTCTGTGTCTCTTATTTATTTTCTCAGTCTCTCATCCCACCTGATGAGAAACACCCACAGGTGTGGAGGGGCTGGACCCCTTCACATCCACACCAAAACCCCATCTGTACATCACCATCATCAAAGACCAAAGGTAGGTAAAAACCACAAAGATGGGGAGAAACCAGAGCAGAAAAGCTGAAAATTCTAAAAATCAGAGCATCTCTTCTCCTCCAAAGGAACACAGCTCCTCACCAGCAACAGAACAAAGCTGAATGGAGAATGACTTTGACAAGTTGGGAGAAGAAGGCTTCAGACGATCAGTAATAACAACCTTCTCCGAGCTAATGGAGGATGTTTGAACCCATCACAAAGAAGCTAAAAACCTTGAAAAAAGATTAGTCAAACAGCTAACTAGAATAAACAGTGTAGAGAAGACCTTAAATGACCTAATGGAGCTGAAAACCGCGGCACGAGAACTACATGATGCATGCACTAGCTTCTTTAGCCAATTCAATCAAGTGGAAGAAAGGGTATCAGTCATTGAAGATCAAATGAATGAAATGAAATGAGAAGAGAAGTTTAGAGAAAAAAGAGTAAAAAGAAACCAACAAATCCTCCAAGAAATATGGGACTATGTGAAAAGACCAAATCTACATCTGATTGGTGTACCTGAAAGTGACAGGGAGAATGGAAACGAGTTTGAAAACACTCTTCAGGATATTATCCAGGAGAACTTTCCCAACCTAGCAAGGCAGGCCAACATTCAAATTCAGGAAATACAGAGAATGCCACAAAGATACTCCTCGAGAAGAGCAACTCCAAGACACATAATTGTCAGATTCACCAAAATTGAAATGAAGGAAAAAATGTTAAGGGCAGCCAGAGAGAAAGGTTGGGTTACCACAAAGGAAAGCCTGTCAGACTAACAGCGGATCTCTCAGCAGAAACTCTACATGCCAGAAGAGTGTGGGGGCCAATATTCAACATTCTTAAAGAAAATAATTTTCAGCCCAGAATTTCATATCCAGCGAAACTAAGCTTCATAAGTGAAGGAGAAATAAAATCCTTTACAGACAAGCAAATGCTGAGAGATTTTGTCACCACCAGGCCAGGCCTGCCTTACAAGAGCTTCTGAAGGAAGCACTAAACATGGAAAGGAACAACCGGTACTAGCCACTGCAAAAACATGCCAAATTGTAAAGACCATTGATGCGAGGAAGAAACTGCATCAACTGATGAGCAAAATAACCAGCTAACATCATAATGACAGGATCAAATTCACACATAACAATATTAACCTTAAATGTAAATGGGATAAATGCTCCAATTAAAAGACACAGACTGGCAAATTGGATAAAGAGTCAAGACCCATCAGTGTGCTGTATTCAGGAGACCCATCTCATGTGCAGAGACACACATAGGCTCAAAATAAAGGGGTGGAGGAAGATCTGTCAAGCAAATGGAAAGCAAAAAAAGCAGGGGTTATAATCCTAGTCTGTGATAAAACAGACTTTAAACCAACAAAGATCAGAAGAGACAAAGAAAGCCATTACATAATGGTAAAGGGATCAATTCCACAAGAAGAGCTAACTATCCTAAATATATATGCACCCAATACAGGAACACCCAGATTCATAAAGCAAGTCCTTAGAGACCTACAAAGAGACTTAGACTCCCACACAAAAATAACGGGAGACTTTAACACCTCACTATCAACATTAGACAGATCAACGAAACAGAAAGTTAACAAGGATATCCAGGAATTGAACTCAGCTCTGCACCAAGCGGCCCTAATAGATATCTACAGAACTCTCTACCCCAAATCAACAGAATATACATTCTTCTCAGCACCACATCGCACTTATTCCAAAATTGACCACATATTTGGAAGTAAAGCACTTCTCAGCAAATGTAAAAGAACAGAAATTGTAACAAACTATCTCTCAGACCACAGTGCAATCAAACTATAACTCAGGATTAAGAAACTCACTCAAAACCACTCAACTACATGGAAACAGAGCAACCTGCTCCTGAATGACTACTGGGTACATAACAGAATGAAGGCAGAAATAAAGATGTTCTTTGAAACCAGTGAGAACCAAGACACAACATACCAGAATCTCTGGGACACATTTAAAGCAGTGTGTAGAGGGAAATTTATGGCACTAAATGCCCACAAGAGAAAGCAGGAAATATCTAAAATTACACCCTAACATCACAATTAAAAGAACTGGAGAAGCAAAAGCAAACATTCAAAAGCTAGCAGAAGGCAAGAAATAAGATCAGAGCAGAACTGAAGGAGATAGAGACACAAAAAACCCTTCAAAAAAGCAATGAATCCAGGAGCTGGTTTTTTGAAAAGATCAACATAATTGATAGACTGCTAGCAAGACTAATATAGAAGAAAAGAGAGAAGAATCAAATAGATGCAATAAAAAATGATAAAAGGGATATCACCACCCATCCCACGGAAATACAAACTACCATCAGAGAATACTATAAACACCTCTACACAAATAAAGTAGAAAATCTAGAAGAAATGGATAAATTCCTGGACACATACACCCTCCCAAGACTAAACCAGGAAGAAGTTGAATCCCTGAAAAGACCAATAACAGACTCTGAAATTGAGGCAATAATTAATATCCTCCCAACCAAAAAAAGTACAGGACCTGATGGATTCACAGCTGAATTCTACCGGAGGTACAAAGAGGAACTGGTGCCATCGCTTCTGAAACTATGCCAATCAATAGAAAAAGAGGGAATCCTCCCTAACTAATTTTATGAGGCCAGCATTATCCTGATACCAAAGCCTGGCAGAGGCACAACAAAAAAAAAGAGAATTTTAGACCAATATCCCTGATGAACATCGATGCAAAAATCCTCAATAAAATGCTGGCAAACCAAATCCAGCAGCACATCAAAAAACTTATCTACCATGATCAAGTTGGCTTCATCCCTGGGATGCAAGGCTGGTTCAACATATGCAAATCAATAAATGTAATCCATCATACAAACAGAACCAAAGACAAAAACCACATGATTATCTCAATAGATGCAGAAAAGGCCTTCGACAAAATTCAACAGCCTTCATGCTAAAAACTCTCAATAAACTAGGTATTGATGGGATGTATCTCAAAATAATAAGAGCTATTTATGAAAAACCCACAGCCAATATCATGCTGAATGGGCAAAAACAGGAAGCATTCACTTTGAAAACTGGCACAAGACAGGGATGCAACCTAAGAAATGGGAGAATGAATTCCAGGAACAGGTGATCCATGCAGGAGAGAGGAGCAGCATTGCTGAGAGCCAGGGGTGAAGCAATTCAAGCTGGAGACACTGAGACAAACACAGGGGCGCCTGGCATTCTCTGAAAGGCAGTACAGTGGTTCTCACCACTCAGTAAATGTGGTAATTACCTCTTATCTGGTTACAATGCGTCTTCCCAGGCCTGCCAGCAGGGATTCTTAATCCTGATGCAAATGATGTGGCAGCACTTGTGGTTATAGACATGAGTGTTTGAATCACAGATCTATGTCCAAACCCAAATCCCCTCAGTAATTAACTGTAAGCTGTCATTCAATTACTTAATCTCTCCAGCATGCCACTTCCTCAGACCAATTCATATGGGAATATGAATTCATAGGAGTGTTATAAAGGGTAGTTTATACAATGAACTCATGACTATGAAATGCTTAGCATGGCATCCAAAAAGCCCTGAATAAGTGGTGCAACAATACCTTTTTATTACGGAAAACACACCCAACCTAGAAAAGAGTGTTCATAGGGGATTAAGAGAAGTAAGTACAGTTAGTGAGCAGAGCAAGCCAGCGTGGTGAGGGCCTTTCCTAGGTGAGGCATCCACCACATTTGAAAGTGGGATGCAGGGCAAGAGCTCAACATCAACCAGGATGGGCAGGAATGAAGTAAATAGCTCACACCTGTTCCTTCATGGGTCAGTTCCTTTCATTTTCACTTTTGACTCTGATGCAAAATTAGAACTCTTCTCTGCTCAAATGTTACTATTCTTAATAAAGTAAAGTAAATAAGTAGGGTCCAAAAACTTCAATTGCGTAAAGTACATGCTCTTGTTATTACAAGGCAAATGGGAAATATTTTGCAGTTGGTCATTGCCATCACAATAACACAAATTCTAAAATTTACACTGTTTACAACTGAACCACACCCTCAAATAATCAAAAAATGGTCCCTCCCTAACCTCTCTCCCCAGGAAGAGAAGGTCTTTGGCTGCCCCAACCTGAGCAGGAGAGCAGGTGGAGAGTGGGAGCCCACAGCTGCAGTGGCAAGAAGCCTGAGGGCTGATGGCCTAGACCAAATAATAGGGAATTGGGCTGAGTTGTTTGAATCGTTTTCCAATAACTGATTTATAAAATAGATCAGACTCATTGAAGGACCTGGGGAATGGGAGCCCACCCCTCGGTCTCCAGCCTCCCCAAACTATGTGTTTCTCCAGAGTAAGCTTGAGCCTCTCCCAGCATGGATTAAAACCCATGGCTCTTCCAGATCTAAAATCTGAGGCTCTACAATTTAAGTCATAGTTAGGCACTTGCATACCTGTAATGGTAACATGCTTAAATACTCAGTCTATCATTGTTTAATATTGAATGAAAGACACATATTTTGTTTACTTATTATGCAGCAGCTAGTCTGTGTTCACCTGCATTGTCTCAGGGTTAGCTCTTTATTTCCAAGCATCCTGTCCCATTTCCTGGAGCCTATTGACCAGGGGAAAGATATGGTCAAAAGTTACAGGTATGTTGGGCAAAGCCTTAGGAATAGCTTTTCTGACAAACAAGCAATGGGGAAAAGACTCCGTTCAATAAATGGTGCTGGGATAACTGGCTAGCCACATGCTGAAGATTGAGCTGGGCCCCTTTCTTACACCATACACAAAAATGAACTCAGGATGGATTAAAGACTTAAGTGTAAAACCCAAAAATATAAAAACCCTGGAAGACAACCTAGGCAATACCATCCTGGACATAAGAACAGGCAAAGATTTCATGACAAAGACAACAAAAGCAATAGCAATGAAAGCAAAAATTGACAAGTGGGATCTAGTTAAACTAAAGAGCTTCTACACAGCAAAAGAAACTATCAACAAAGTAAACAGGCAACTTGCAGATTGGGAGAAAGTATTTACAAACTATGCATCTGACAAAGGTCTAATATCCAGCATCTATAAGGAACTTAAACAAATTTACAAGAGAAAAACAACCCCATTAATAAGTGGGCCAAGGACATAAAGAGACACTTCTCCAAAGGAGACAAACATGTGTGCTGGGCGTGGTGGCTCACGCCTGTAATTCCTGCATTTTGGGAGGCCAAGGAGGGTGGATCACAACGTCAGGAGATTGAGACCATCTTGACTAACATGGTGAAACCCCGTCTCTACTAAAAATACAAAAAATTAGCCGGGTGTGGTGGCAGGCACCTGTAGTCCCAGCTACTTGGGAGGCTGAGGCAGGAGAATGGCGTGAACCAAGGAGGCAGAGCTTGCAGTTAGCTGAGATCACACCACTGCACTCTGGCCTGGGTGACAGAGCGAGACTCGGGCTAAGAAAAAAAAAAAAAAAAAAAAAAAAAGGCAAACGTGGCAAACAAGCATATGGAAAAAAGCTCTAGATCACTGATCACTAGAGAAATGCTCATCAAAACCACAGTGAGGCACCATCTCACACCAGTCAGAATGGCTATTACTAAAAAGTAAAAAACTAACAGAAGTTGGCAAGGTTGCAGGGAAAAGTGAACATGTATACACCATTGGTGGGAGTGTAAGTTAATTCAACTGTGGTGGAAAGCAGTATGGTGATTCCTCAAAGAGCTAAAAGCAGAACTACAACATTTGACCTAGCAATCCCATTACTGGTTATATACCCAGATGAATATAAATCATTCTACCATGAAGTTACATGCATGCAAATGTTCATTGCAGCACTATTCACAATAGCAAAGACATAGAATCAACCCAAATACTCATCAGTCACGGATTGGATAAAGAAAATGTGCTACATATACACCATGGAATAATATGCAGCCATAAAAAAGAATGAGATTATGTCTTTTGCATTAGTATGGATGAAGCTGATGGGTATTATCCTTAGCAAACTAACGCAGGAATAGAAAACCAAATACAGCATGTTCTAACTTATAAGTGGGAGCTAAATGATAAGAACTTGTGAACACAAAGAAGGAAACAAAAGACACTGGGGTCTACTTGATGGGGGGAGGGTGGGAGGAGGGAGAGGAGCAGAAAAGATAACTATTGGATACTGGGCCTAATACCTGGATGATGAAATAACAGGTACAACAAACCCCTGTGACACATATTTAACTGTATAACAAACCCTCCCGTGTACCCCCTAACCTAAAATAAAAGTTAAAAAAAAAGAAACACAGCTTTTTATTTTTTTTCTTTTTAATCCCATAAAGGTCATGGGCCATTTGCCACCTGAACAGTCAGTAACACATGAGTGGAAAGAAACTGAACACCCAGGGACACCAGAGACCGTTCACTGTAGAGGAAGGAGGCAGGTATAACTCATAAGGTGAACTTCCTCCAGTCCCAGAGTTGTTCCCCTCTCCTTAAATGTGGGTCCCATGGAATTCAGACTAGGAAGTAAAGCAAATGAGAAAGGCCTACAGGGGAGCAGTTCAAATGTGTGGAAAAGGATAGAGCAGCCCCAATGAGGAAGGAAGGCTGGACAAGCAATGGATTTGTAGGGAAGACAATGTGCACCCATCGGAGCTCTGATTCCTTCATTTTCACTACCCTCCCCTGCCCACTAACATAAAAAAAGTATTGATGGCAAGTGTTGGGCCATAAGACATTTCCTTGCTTTATAATCTGGATTTGGGGGGTTACATTTCAGAGATAATGAAAATCTCCTCCTTTAGTTAACTTTTAATTTCATAATTGTAACTTTGTTTTTACAGATTTGTGAACATGTAAAACAAAGAAAACAGCATGGGAGTAATTTATAATCAACAAATATGTGTTCACTGAGTGACACTCACATGGCATATGGCATATGGGCATCCTGAGAGTAGGATCGTGGGGCATCCGATGGTGATTGTCCTTAGAGTTGGTCGGAGCCCAGCCTTCCACGGTCTGCGCACTGCTGTGTGTACAATCGGTGCCTTCTTTAAGTTCACAGCAATGCCACAAGGCAAATAGCACTGTCTTCACTTTCTGTGTGAGAGAACTAAGGCTGGGTGAGAGTATGCAGAGCTGGATCATGGATTTGTTTGGCTCCTTCTAGTTTCAAAACCTGTAAATATTTTGCTGTCTCTAATGCTAATCTTAGCACTATATTTGGAATAAGCATATAAACATATAACCACAATCCACTCAGGTAATAGGCAACCAAATTATAAATAAATGCTCAACAAGATTATGAAATGATTGAATGAGTTATATATAAGAATAATAACTGGTGGAAGTGTTATTCATAGGATAAAGTAGAAATCATTTAAATGGCTAACAGTATAAGGAGGGTTAAATCAAGCATCCAGGTGTGGAAATAGTTGATTTACATATATAGTTTATGCCATGTAAGACGTTTATGATCCAATATTGGATGAAAAAACAGAAACATTTTATGTACAGTATAATCTAAAATTTCTACATTTCATTAAAAGTGCAGGAATATAATTATCAAAATTTGAGTGATAAAATTATGAATTTTTCTTTTTCTTATAACTCATTTTATATTTACCAAAGATCCTCCAAAGAGAATATACACTTTTATAATTAGAAAAAAAGTTATTTGTTAAAGAGATCATAAATGACATAATATTTTACAGAAGTTAAAAGCTGAGATTGTGAGGATTTCCAGGGACTCCTGCCACCAGCCCATCTCGCATCATCATTTACATGGAAATGTTGGGACTGAGGTGACTTCATGCCTCTCAATTCCCAGCCAGCTTTCTCTCCCTCTGGCTCCTAGCCAGCCTGTTAACCAGAAAATAATCAGTAAGACAAAAAACACCCTAGTGTTCTAACAAGTTACACATAATTGCTTGCTTACCAATTGCCTACCTCAGAACTCTGTTTCCCTCATAGAGTCAATATAATCATTTATTTTAAATTCAGCTTCTGCCATTTTACAGTCTGAGATGCAGGACTTTGCATAGGGCATGGATGGGTTTCCACAGTCCACAGGAGGATGGGAGGAGAGCAGGGCAGATCCAGCCGCACTCAGTGAGAGTTCTGGCTGGAGTTACTTGGCTGGACCTCACTCCAGAGAGAGGAGACCTTCTTCTGGACCAGCTACCAAGACAGCCCCTAGTTGGAAAATCTTTTCTTCTAAGGTGAGATGCAGCCCCCACTGGAGAGGAAAACACCAGAGAGTATTTAAAAAGGAAAAACCAAGGTAAGCTGAAGAGATTCTTGACAGGAGACACAGCAGAGTCCACCCAGCTGGGGTGAATCTCCGCAGTTCCCCAACGGGACAGCAGGTGGGAGCCCCAAATCACTGGCCCCTGCAGCATGGGAGCAGCATGAGCCATCTGCAGTGACATTGTCTCCTCCAGCAGCAGCCTCCATCCAGAAATCCATCTCAGGGTCTGTCCTCACAGTAACCTGATGCCAGAGCTGTGCACTCAAAGTATTTGGACGCAGATATTTTGTGGAACTGAGCATTTTCCAGGTCTTGCTGGAGTTCATTCCGCGTGAACTTGATGGAGATCTTTCTCATGGGCTTCTTTATTTTTTTCACTCTTTTTTTTATTATTATACTTTAAGTTCTAGGGTACATGTGCACAACGTGCAGGTTTGTTACATATGTATACATGTGCCATGTTGGTGTGCTACACCCATTACCTCGTCATTTACATTAGGTATATCTCCTAATGCTTTCCCTCCCCCCTTCCCCCACCCCACAACAGGCCCCGGTGTGTGATGTTCCCCTTCCTGTGTCCAAGTGTTCTCATTGTTCAATTCCCACCTATGAGTGAGAACATGCAGTGTTTGGTTTCTTGTGCTTGTGATAGTTTGCTGAGAATGATGGTTTCCAGCTTCATCCATGCCCCTACAAAGGAAATGAACTCATCCTTTTTTATGGCTGCACAGTATTCCATGGTGTATATGTACCACATTTTCTTAATCCAGTCTATCATTGATGGACATTTGGGTTGGTTCCAAGTCTTTGCTGTTGTGAATAGCACTGCGATAAACATACGTGTGCATGTGTCTTTATAGCAGCATGATTTATAATCCTTTGGGTATATACCAAGTAATGGGATGGCTGGGTCAAATGGTATTTCTAGTTCTAGATCCTTGAGGAATCACCACACCATCTTCTACAATGGTTGAACTAGTTTACAGTCCCACCAACAGTGTAAAAGTGTTCCTATTTCTCCACATCCTCTCCAGCACTTGTTGTTTCCTGACTTTTTAATGATCGCCATTCTAACTGGTGTGAGATGGTATCTCATTGTGGTTTTGATTTGCATTTCTCTGATGGCCAGTGATGAGCATTTTTTCACGTGTCTGTTGGCTGCACAAAATGCCTTCTTTTGAGAAGTGTCTGTTCATATCCTTTGCCCACTTCTTGATGAGGTTGTTTGTTTTATTTCTTATAAATTTGAGTTCTTTGTAGATTCTGGATATTAGTCCTTTGTCAGATGGGTAGATTGCAAAAATTTTCTCCCATTCTGTAGGTTGCCTGTTCACTCTGATGGTAGTTTCTTTTTCTGTGCAGAAGCTCTTTAGTTTAATTAGATCCCATTTGTGCATTTTGGCTTTTGTTGCCATTGCTTTCGGTGTTTTAGGCATGAAGTCCTTGCCCATGCCTATGTCCTGAATGGTATTGCCTAGGTTTTCTTCTAGGGTTTTTATGGTTTTAGGTCTAACATGTAAGTCTTTAATCCATCTTGAATTAATTTTTGTATAAAGTGTAAGGAAGGGATCCAGTTTCAGCTTTCTATGTATGGCTAGCCAGTTTTCCAAGCACCATTTATTAAATAGGGAATCCTTTCCCCATTGCTTGTTTTTGTCAGGTTTCTCAAAGATCAGATAGTTGTAGATGTGTGGTATTATTTCTGATGGCTCTGCTCTGTTCCATTGGTGTATATCTCTGTTTTGGTACCAATACCAATCTGTTTTTGTTACTGTAGCCTTGTAGTATAGTTCGAATTCAGGTAGTGTGATGCCTCCAGGTTTGTTCTTTCGGCTTAGGATTGTCTTGGCAATGCAGGCTCTTTTTTGGTTCCATATGAACTTTAAAGTAGTTTTTTCCAATTCTGCAAAGAAATTCATTGGTAGCTTGATGCAAATGGCATTGAATCTATAAATTACCTTGGGCAGTATGGCCATTTTCATGATATTGATTCTTCCTATCCATGAGCATGGAATGTTGTTCCATTTGTTTGTGTCCTCTTTTATTTCATTGAGCAGTGGTTTGTAGTTCTCCTTGAAGAAGTCTTTCACATCCCTTGTAAGTTTGATTCCTAGGTATTTTATTCTCTTTGAAGCAATTGTGAATGGGAGTTCACTCATGATTTGGCTCTCTGTTTGTCTGTTATTGGTGTATAAGAATGCTTGTGATTTTTGCACATTGATTTTGTGTCCTGAGACTTTGCTGAAGTTGCTTATCAGCGTAAGGAGATTTTGGGCAGAGATGATGAGGTTTTCTAAATATATAATCATGTCATCTCAAATTATGGGCTTCTTTTCTAAGTGTGGGAGAGCATGGCCTGCATGACTGCTGGCTTCCAGCACATGGTGTACAAACCCATGCCAGGGTGTGTAATTCACTGTAGCCCTTGACAGAATATCAGGGGATAAAGGTTGTTTTTTAATCTTCTGTTTATTACCCTCAGCCAATTACCTTCTATCTATATTAGAAGATATTTTGCCAATTTTTTTTCAAAATGGAAAAATACCGTGCTCCTTAAAAAGTCTTTTAGAAGCACAGAGTTTTCAATTTCATTACATTAAAATCACTAAAAGAAAAAAGTGAACTTCACATATCTAAGAAATTTTCTTTTGGCAAAATACTCTGTTTTGGTTTGGAATGTTTGTGAATTTTCCATGCATGTGTCCAGATGCATAGGGAGTTTATTCATTCAATTAAGTTAAAATATTAGATAACATGGTAAATTCAAAAAGTAGTGAGGACACATTTTGTTTCTGTCTCTTTAACTGAGAAAACTGGCTGATATCTCCTGTGTGCAAGCACTGTGTAGCTGATGCAGATACAGAAACCAAGGTTTTCTTACTTGCTGCTGCTTGCCCTGGCACTGGAGGTTGGCTCTGGGAGGGCAGGGTATCTGTTTTTATTACCACTCAGCAAGTGCTACACAAATACACACAGGTGTCTCTGCCCTCTAGTGGATCCTGGCAGGAACTGGGAGCAAACATGACTATATAAAAAAAATGAAAGATTTAAAAAATACTCATTATCTCCAGAGGGGATTTAATTCTAACAGGAGGCTTTTTTTTTTCTTTTTCAAATGGGCTGATGGGTAAAAATAATACAAGACTGGAGATGTTGGAAAAAAGCACACTGCATTTGCCTTTCAGCATCTGTGATGACTGAGTCCTTCCTCAGCGCTGCCACAGGGAGCACATTCACACATGTGTCACACATATACCAGGGTTAGGTCAGAAAACCAAGTGTTACCTGGAGGAAACCACAAAGGCTATGAGACCAAGCCTTCACCTAGAAGACACTTGATAGTTTAGAAGCTGAGATCCTGTGAGGTGTCTCAGAGAGCTCAGCTGTGACCCTGCACTGTTTGGAAGGGCGGGCAGTGGGGCCCAGGCAGGTGAAGAGAATTGTCCACTGTTGAGCATCATCAGCCTAAAACCCACATGCAATGCTGTTGCTGCAAAACCTTTGACTGTTGAAGCCACAAACCACAGAAACAGACTCCCTTTATGGTCCTGACTGTGTAACTGGTGACTTTTCAGAAGATGAAGATTAAACATATTAATCATAAATTCAAAGTGTCAGAAGAAACACTAGGAGATTTTCTAAACTCTGCTACCATGACTTTTTTTTTGGCAAGATTTGTGAATTATTGTAAATAAGCTCACAGAGGCTGAAGTGCTCCCCTGAAGTCATCCAGAAAGAGGCAGGCTGCTAATCCCCATGTCTGAGACATCTGTGTTTTCTTAGGATAATACAAAAATTAAAGATAAAGGAGAGAGAGAGGGACAGAAAGAGACAGAGAGACAGAGAATTGGAGCTAAGATGAAACATTTTCATGTTTTGCCCCCCAAAATTCCCAGTGAACATTTCCATTGCCAGCAGGTGAAATCCAAGGCCCTGGCTCCAGGATCCTGCTCTTTCCTGTGGTGACTCTTGTGCAGATTTGGCATAGAAACAATATGGAACTTGTTACACTTCTCTGGACAAGTCATTATGCTTTTGGCTCACAGGCTCCACTTCCCTGGACACCCCTTCACCCTAAGCTTCAAGTAATTCAGCTTCACCCTTCAGAGAAGAACTCAGCTGTCACTTCTTCTAAGGACCCTCCCTAGCTGCCTCTCCAGCAGAAGAGCCCCCACCTTGCTCTTTGCACCTCCGTCCCTCAAGGTGCTGCTGTCCTCTGTGGAGGGTGGGACCCCGGGAACTAGAGCGCCTTTCATGCTGGAGACACTTGGCACTCAGTAAGTGTGTGCTGAGTGGATACAAGTGCAGCAAGCTTGCACAGCCTTACAATGTATACTATCATGTCTGGAATAGATCCCCATTTTCGTTCTTGGTAAAATGAGTAAGTGGGGCAGGGTGACCCATACTCTCTTTTCAACTCAGAAGTCCACATTCAGCCTGACATCAAATAGCTTCCCAGCCAGCGCCAGGCCAGGACCCAGGTTGTTCAATGTGCCTGTGTCCCCCAAAGAGTGGGTAAAGCATGGAGAAATGGGACCAGCTCTGCTGCCTGCTGCCCAGTGCCGGCCAGCAACTCCAGGCTCACAAAGCCAAGACAAAGGCACCTGCGGGAGATCTTGGTTATTCGTTAGCTGTGATTGGGCTGGGAGGGGAGTGTGTTCACTTCTAATTTTCCAGGGACTAGCATGAGACGGTAAAGTTTGAAATGTGGTGTTTTTTTGCCTTGGCCCCCCCCCCCCCAAAAAAAAGACCTTTTTACCTTCTCATCCTTGGAGCCACTGGCATTAGTTATGGGCCTGATAGTTTAAGAAAACTTGAAAATGAACTATGTGAACCGGTATTCTCCAAAGTAATATTTTGATAAATAGTGTAATTCTTTATTACAGTAAAACCATTGCTTAAGTGGGCAAAACTCTAGAGGATAGGAAAAAACACTCTTGAAAACAGGTGGTGATGCCCTGAAATTCAGCAAACTGCAGGGGCACGTGTTGTTCTACCCAAGGTCAGAGTGTGTCACTCACCACTTGATGCCACTCACAGACCACCAACTTCAGAATATCTAGGTGTAAAGCTCTGTACAAAAGTTATAACAGAATAATGTAAATAAATTATTATTTATATTACACTATTACATAATGTAAAGACTATTAAAACATGTTTGTCTTCAAAGAATGGCCTTGGTTTCTGTGGGCAGTGTCTCCTCATGGAAAGGTAGTGCATTCCTGCTAAATCATGGACAAAACGGGCCTCCAGGAGCTGTAGGCTGCAGCAGCAGCAGCAGCAGCTTCTCATCTACATCCTTCCCTGCATGATACTGCTGTTGACTTTGAAAGCTTCTTTCAGTCTAGTTTTATCAACAGAGTTAGTATTTCATGAGGATCTACTACATACCAGGTTCCAGAAAGCTAAATGCCTTTTGTTTGTTATTACTCACTAAATACAAATCACAACTCTCTTCTCATTACTCACACAACAAAATTTAGCTGAGGGAGATTGAGTGACTTTCCCAGGGTCACACAGCTACTAAGAGCAGAGTTGTGTTTAGATTCATGTGGGAATACTGAACACTGAAAGGAGCCAGCAGAAGTATTATACATTCCAAAAGCCTACTCAAGCCATTTGTTCTTATTTTAAAGAAAATCTTTATGCTAATTTTAAACTCCAAATACTTATGAATTGCAGAGATCTACAGATTTGATTCTGATGTAAGAAATGATGCTCACCAGTTGGTTACTGCTACCACTCCACAACCCCGAGCATACTGGACAAATATCTAAGCCTCATGGTTAGTGGGGACAATGCTGGCGGAGGCTGAAGTTGTCATGCAGTGACTCACGCAAGCTTAGGCAGATTTGGTGATATATGACACAGAGATGCAAATAAATGCTGTAGCTGACACACACAGGCTGGCTCTGGAAGATGCAGAAGGAGCATGTCACCCAAAATAGAGCCAGACAGACATCTTTAAGGAAGGAGCAAAGGAGCTGCATCTTAAAGAATGAAGAAGAGATTCGTCATGAGAGATGGGACAGGAAGTTCTTGAGAGGCAGAGGGAGAACATGAGAATGTCGGGAAAGGAGGAGAGATTCTTGCACATCCGGGAAGCTGACAATCCATCAGCATGGCCAGAAGGAAAATAAGGAGGAGGAGCGGAAATAATAGATGAGGCTGGATATAGAAGCAGGGTTGAAGCTGTGTTGATTGTGGTAAAGAGTTGTGATTCTATCCAGAAGGCAATAGTTAGCATTCTAAACAGAGATCTTTAAAAACAAGAGTCAGCAAATATTTTCTGCGAAGGGCTAAATGTTAAATATTTTAAGTTTTCCAAGCCATGTGGTCCCTCTCTCAATGACTCAGCTCTTCCGTTATACCATGAAAGTAGCCAGAGACATTATGAAACACATGTATGTGGCTGTGTCCCATTACAACTTTTCTTACAAACGCAGACTATGTCAGACATGGCCCATGAATGGTAGTTTGCCACACCCTGTTTTAGAAAGCTCAGGTTTATGATGTGTTGGAGAATGCCTACAAGAGCTCTTGTTTTAAATGGTAGAGTGAACATACAATGGAATTC